>NT_187384.1:158478-234039 GCF_000001405.40 Homo sapiens
AATCGACTCCATTTCATGATGATTCCATTCGATTTCATTCGATGATTCTATTTGTTTCCTTTCGATGATGATTCCCTTCTATTCCAATCAATGGTTCCATTCGATGCAATTCGATGAATACATTCAATTCCATTCAATGATGATTCCATTCCATTCCATTTGATGATTACATTTGATTGCATTCGATGAGGATTCCATTCGTGTCCATTAGATGATTCCATTCGATCCCATCTGATGATGATTCCATTCGATTCCATTTGATGATTCCATTCAATTCCATTCATTGATGATTCCATTCGATTCCATTCAATGATTCTATTCAATTCCATTCGATGATGATTCTATTCGATTCCATTCAATGATTCCATTTGAGTTCATTTGATGTTCCATTTGAGTCCATTCAATAACACCATTCGATTCCATTTGATAATGATTCCATTCGAGTCCATTTGATAATTCCATTTGAATCCATTCGATGATTGCTTTCAATTCCATTCGACGATGATTCCATTCGAGTCAATTCGATGATTCCATTCGATTCCATTCGATGATGATTCCATTCGTGTCCATTCAGTGATTCCATTCAATTTCATTCGATGATGATTCCTTTCGAATCCATTCGATGATTCCTTTCAATTCCATTCGATGATGATTCCATTCGAGTTCATTTATGTATTCCCTTTGATTCCATTCGATGATGATTCCATTCGAGTCCTTTCAGTGACTCTATTTGTTTACATTCGATGATGATTCCATTCGAGTCCATTTCATGATTACATTTGATTCCATTTGATGACGATTCCATTCGAGTCCCTTAGATGATTCCATTTGATTCCATTCGATGATAATTCCATTCGAGCCATTTGATGATTCTATTCGAATCCATTTGATGATTGCTTTTTATTATATTCGATTATGATTCCATTCGATTCCATTCGATGATGATTCTATTCGAGCCCATTCAATGATTCCATTCAATTCCATTCGCTGATGATTGCATTCGGGTCTATTCAATGATTCCATTCGATTCCATTCGATGATGATTACATTTGACATCATTCAATGATTCCATTCGTTTTCATTCGATTATGATTCCATTCGATTCTATTAGATGATTCCATTTGATTCCATTCGATCATGATTCCATTCGAGTCCGTTCAATGATTCCATTCGATTCCATTCGATGATGATTCCATTCGGGGCCATTCGAAGATTCCATTCAATTCCATTTGATGATTCCTTTTGAGTACATTCGATGATTTCATTCGAGTCCATTTGAGGATGATTGCTTTTGATTCCATTCCATGATTATTCCATTCGATTCCATTTGATGATGATTCCAATCAGGGCCATTCGAAGATTCCTTTTGAGTACATTCGATGATTTCATTCGAGTCCATTCGAGGATGATTGCTTTTGATTCCATTCCATGATTATTCCATTTGATTCCATTCGATGATGATTCCATTCGATTCCATTCAATGATTCTATTAGATTCCATTCAATGATGATTTCATTCGAGTCCATTCGATGATTCCATTTGATTCCATTCTCCAATGGTTACATTTGAGTCCTTTCGATGATTCTACTCAATTCCATACGATGATGATTCCTTTCAATTCCATTCGATGATTCCATTCTATTCCATTCAATGATGATTACATTCTAGTACATTAGATGATTCCATTCGATTCCATTCGATGATGATTGCATTCGTGCCCATTAGATTATTCCACAGGATTCCATTCAATGATGATTCCTTTTGAGTCCATTCGAAGATTCCATTCGATTCCATTCGATGATGATTCCATTTGATTCCATTCATTGGTGATTCCATTCAATTCAGTTCACTGATTCCATTCGATTCCATTCGACAATGATTCCCTTCGATTCCATTCGATGATTCCACTTGATTCCATTAGATGATGATTGCCTTCAATTCCATTCAATGATTCCATTCGATTTCATTCATTGATGATACCGTTCGATTCCATTTGATGATTCCATTTGACTCTATTCGAGGATTCCATATGATTCCATCCGATTTTGATTCTATTCGAGTCCATTCGATGATTTCATTCGAGTCCATTCAATGATTCCATTCGAGTCCATTTGATGATTCCATTCGATTCCATTTGATGATGATTCCGTTAGAGTCCATTCAATGACTCCATTCGAGTCCATTCGGTGATTCCATTCTATTCCATTTGATGATTCCATTCGCTTCCATTTGATCATCATTTTTGAGTCCATTCAGTGATTCCATTGGATTTCTTTTGATGATGATCACATTTGATTCCATTCAATGATGATTCCAGTCGAGTCCATTCGATGATTCCTTTCAATTTCATTCAATGATGATTCCATTCGTGTCCATTCGATGATTCTTTTTGAGTCCCTTCGTTGATTCCATCCGATTCCATTTGATGATGATTCCATTCGTGTCCATTCAATGATTCCATTTGATTCCATTCAATGATAATTCCATTCGAGTCCATTTGATGATGATTCCATTCGATTCCGTTAAATGATTACATTCGATTCCATTCGATGATTCCCTTCGATTCCTTTCTTTGATGATTCCATTACATTCCATTCAATGATTCCATTCGATTCTATTCCATAATGATTCCTTTCGATTCCATTTGCTGATGATTCCATTCAATTCCATTCAATGATGATTTCATTCGATTCCATTAGATGACGACTATATTCGATTCCATTCATGATGATTCCAACGGATTCTATTCGATTTCTCCATTCGGTTCCATTCGTTGATGATTCCATTCAATTCCATTCGATGACAATTCCATTCCATTCCAATCAATGATGATTCCATTCGATTCCATTTGATGCTTCCATTCGTTTCTATTCAATGATGATTCCATTTGAGAACTTTCAGTGATTCCATTCAAATCCATTTGATGATTCCTTTCAATTCCATTCAATGATGATTCCATTCGAGTCCATTCAATGATTCCATTCGATTCCATTCAATGTTGATTCCATACGAGTCCATTCGATGATTTCATTTGATTTCATTTGGTGATGATTCCCTTCGATTGCATTCAATGATTCCTTTCTATTCCATTTGATGATGATTCCATTCGAGTCCATTCGATGATTCCATTCGAGTCCATTTAATGATAGCATTGGGTTCAATTTGATGACGATTACTTTGGATTCCATTCTATGTTTCCATTCGATTCCATTCATTGATGATTCCATTCAATTCCATTCGAAGATGATTCCGTTCGATTTCATTCAATTGTTCTATTCGATTCCATTCGATGATTATTCAATTCTTTTCCATTTGATGATTAAATTCAATTCCATTCGATGATGATTCCATTCAATTGCATTCTATGGGGATTCCATTCGATTCCATTCGAAGATTCCATTCGATTACATTCCATGACGATTCCATTTGAGTCCATTCGATGATTCCATTTGACTCCATTCGATGATGATTCCATTCAATTCTATTCGAAGATTCCATTCGATTCCATTCGATGATGATTACATTCGACTCCATTTGATGATTCCATTCGAGTCCATTCAATGATGATTGCATTCGTGTCCATTCAATAATTCCATTCAATTCCATTCGATGATGATTCCATTCGAGTCCATTCAATGATTGCATTCGATTCCATTCAATGATGATTCCATTGGAATCTATTCAATGATTCCACTTGATTCCATTCGATGGCTCCGTTCGATCCCATTCGATGATTCCCTTCAACTCCATTTCATGATCCTTCCATTTGATTCAATTCGGTGATTCCATTCAATTCTATTCAATGATTGTTCCAATCGAATCCTATAGATGAATATTCCATTCGATTCCATTTGATTATGATTATATTCAATTCCATTTGATGATGATTCCATTCGAGTCCATTCGATGATTCCATTCGATTCCATTTGATGATGATTCCACTCAAGTCCATTCGATGATTCCTTTCGAGTCCATTCGATGATTTCATTAGATTCCATTGGAAGATGATTCCATTCGATGTCATTCGATGATTTCTTTCGAATCCATTCAACAATGATTACATTCGTGTACATTTGATGATTCCATTCGATTCCATTCAATGATGATTCCACTCGATTCCATTCGATGATTCCATTCAAGTCCATTCGATGTTTCCTTTCGATTCCACTCGACGTTGATTCCATTTGAGTCCATTCGATTACTAAATTTGAGTGCATTCCATGATTTTATTTGACTCCATTCGATGATGATTCCATTCGAGACCATTCGATGATTCCATTTGATTTCATTTGATGATAATTTAATCCGATTTCATTCAATGATTCCATTCGAGTCCATTCCATGATTCCATTCGAATCCATTAAATGATTCCATTCGATTCCATTCGATTATGACTCCATTCGAGTCCGTTCAGTGATTCCATTCGATTCCATTCGATGATTCCTTTGTATTCCATTCTTTGTTTTACTTTGATTCTTTTTGATGAGATTCCATTCGATTCCCTTCGATGGTTCCTTTGTATTCCATTCTTTGTTTTACTTCGATTCTTTTGATGATGATTCCATTTGATTTCATTCGATGATCCCAATCATTTCTCTTTGATGATGATTCCATTCAATTCCATCTGAAGAAAATTCCATTCGATTCCATTGGATGATGATTCCATTTGATTCTATTCAATGCCAATTCTATTCGGTTCCATTCGATGATGATTCCATTCAATTTCCCTCGATGACTCCATTGGATTCCATTCGATGATGATTCCATTCGAGACCATTAGATGATTCCATTCAATTCCATTCAATGATGATTCCATTCGAGTCCATAAAATGATTCCATTTGATTCCATTGGATGATGACTCCATTCGAGTCCATTAAATGATGATTCCCTTCAATTCCATTCGATGATTCCTTTGTATTCCATTCTTTGTTTTACTTTGATTCTTTTTGATGGTGATTCCATTCAATTCCATTTGATGATTCCTTTGTATTCCATTCTTTGTTTTACTTCGATTCTTTTGATGGTGATTCCATTTGATTTCATTCGATGAACCCATTGGATTCTCTTCCATGATGATTCCATTCGATTCCATTTGAAGAAAATTCCATTCGATTCCATTGGATGATGATTCCATTCGGTTCTATTCGATACCGATTCTATTCGGTTCCATTCAATGATGATTCCATTCGAGACCATTCTATGATTCCATTCAATTCAATTCAATGATGATTCTATTCGAGTCCATTCGATGATTACTTTCAAGGCCATTTGATGATTCCATCTGATTCCATTCAATGACGATTCCATTCGAGTCCATTCGATGATTCCATTCTATTCCATTCCTTGATGATTCCATTCAAGCCCAGTCGATGATTGCATTCGAATCCATTTGATTATTCCATTAGATTCAATTATTTTCAATGATTCCATTCGATTCCATTCGATGATGATTCCAAACAATTCCATTTGTTGAATCCATTCAAATGCATTCGATGATGGGTCCATTCATTTCAATTACATGATGATTCCATTCGATTCAATTCAATGGTTTTTCCATTCGATTCCATTCGATGTTGATTCCGTTTGATTCCATTGGATGATGATTCCATTCGAGTCCATTAGATGATGATTCCATTCAAGTCCATTCAATGATGATTCCATTCGATTTCTTTCAATGATTCTATTCTATTCCATTCGATGATGATTCCATCTCATTCCATTTGATAAATCCATTCGATTCCATTCTATGATGATTCCATTCATTTCCATTCGATGATGATTCTATTCTATTCCATTCAATGATTCCATTCGATTACATTTGATCATGACTCCAATCAATTCCTTTCAATGATTCCATTGGAATCCATTTGATGATGAGTCCATTCGTTTCAATTCCATGATGATTCCAGTGGATTCAATTCGATGGTGTTTCCATTTGATTCCATTTGATGTTGATTTATTTCGATTATATTGGATGATGATTACATTCGAGTCCATTCAATGATGATTCCATTTGGGTCCGTTCGATGATGATTCCATGCGATTTCATTTGATGATTCTATTCTATTCCATTCGTTGATGATTCCATCTGATTCCATTCGATGATTCCATTCGATTCCATTCGATGATGATTCCATTCAAATCCATTTGATGATTCCAAGCGATTCCATTCGATGATTCCGTTCGATCCCATTTGATGAATCCCTTCGATTCCATTTGATGATCATTCCATTTGATTCAATTCGGTGATTCCATTCGATTCTATTAAATTATGATTCCATTTGACTCCATTCAATGATGATTCCATTCGAGTCCATTCGATGATTGCATTCAAATCCTTGCAATGATTCCATTCAATTCCATGCAATGATGATTCCAATGAGTCCATTCAGTGATTCCATTTGATTCCATTTGACGATGACTGCATTCAGTTCCATTCGATGATGATTCCAACGGACTCCATTTGATGACTCCATTCCATTCCATTCATTGATGATTTCATTCGATTCCATTCAATGATAATTCCATTCGATTACATTCGATGATTCTACTTGATTCCATTCGATGATGATTCCTTTTGTGTCCTTTCGATGATTCCATTCGATTCCATATCGATAATGATTCCGCTCGAGTCCTTTTGATGATTCCATTCGAGTCCATTCGATTATTCCATTAGATTCCATTTGATGATGTTTCCATTCGATGCCATTCAATGATTCAACGATGATTCCATTCGTGTCTATTTGATGATTCCATTCAATTCCATTTGATGATGATGCCATTCGATTCCATTCGATGATTCCATTCAAGTCCATTCGATGTTTCCGTTCGATTTCACTCAACGTTGATTCCATTTGAGTCATTTTGATGACTAAATTTGAGTGCATTCCATGATTTTATTTGACTCCATTCGATGAGGATTCCATTCGATGACGATTCCATTCGACTCCATTCGATGATTCCATTTGATTTCATTCGATGATAATTAAATCCGATTTCATACAATTATTCCATTCGAGTCCATTCGATGATTCCATTTGAGTCCATTAAATGATTCCATTTGATTCCATTCGATTATGACTCCATTCGAGTCCATTCAATGATGATTCCATTCGATTCCATTCGATGATTCCTTTGTATTCCATTCCTTGTTTACTTTGATTCCTTTTGATGGTGATTCCATTCTATTCCATTCGATGGTTCCTTTGTATTCCATTCTTTGTTTTACTTCGATTCTTTTGATGATGATTCTATTCGATTTCATTTGATGATCCCAATCATTTCTCTTCGATGAATATTCCATTCGATTCCATTTGAAGAAAATTCCATTCGATTCCATTGGATGATGATTCCATTTGATTCTATTTGATGCCAATTCTATTCGGTTCCATTCGATGATGATTCCATTCGATTTCACTCGATGACTCCATTCGATTCCATTCGATGATGATTCCATTCGAATCCATTTGATGATTCCAAGCGATTCCATTCGATGACTCCATTCGATTCCATTTGATGAATCCCTTCAATTCCATTCGATGATCATTCCATTTGATTCAATTCGGTGATTCCATTCGATTCTATTAAATTATGATTCCATTCGACTCCATTCGATGATGATTCCATTCGATTCCATGCGATTATGATTTAAATAAATTCCATTCGGTAATGATTCTATTCAAGTCCATTCGATGTATACATTGGATTCCATTCCATGATGATTTCACTCAAGTCCACTCGATGATTCCATTCGAGTCCATTCAGTGATGCCATTAGATTCCATTCGATCATGATTCCGTTGGATGCCATTTGATGATTCCATTTGATTCCATTCAACGATGATTCCATTTGTGTCCATTTGATGATTCCATTCGATTCCATTTGATGGTCATTCCATTCGAGTCCATTCGATGATTCCATTCAATTCCATTTGATGATGATTCCATTCTAGTCCATTTGATGATTCCATTAGATTCCATTCAATGATGCCTGCATTTGGTTCCATCTGATGATGATTCCAATGGATTCCATTCGATTTCTCCATTTGATTCCGTTCGTTGATGATTCATTCGTTTCCATTAAATGATGATTCCATTAGATTCCATTCGATGATGATTCCTATCGATTCCATTCAATGACGATTCCATTCAATTCCATTCAGTGATGATTCCATTCGATTCCATTCGATGGTGATTCCATTAGTGTCCATTCAATGATTCCATTCGATTCCATTCAATGATGGTTCCATTCGAGTACATTCAATGAATCCATTCAAGTCTCTTCAATGATTCCTTTCTATTCCATTCAATGATGATTCCATTCAAGTGCATTCGATGATTCCATTTGATTCCACCGAAAGATAACTCCATTCGAGTCGATTAGATGATTCCATTTGATTCCATGTGATGTTGATTCCATCGAGTCCATTTGATGATACCATTTGATTCCATTCGATGCTGAGTGCATTCAGTTCCATTCGATGAAGATTCCATTCGATTCCAATCATGATTCCATTCGATTCCATTCCATGATGATTCCTTTCAATTCCATTCGATGATTCCATTCGTGTCCATTCGATGATGATTCCATTCGTGTCCATTTGATGATTCCATTCGAGTCACTTCATTGATTCCATCTGATACCATTTGATGATGATTCCATTTGAGTCCAATCGATTATTCCATTTGATTCCATTTGATGATTCCATTCGAGTCCATTCGATTATTCCATTCGAATCTATTCGATGATTCCATTTGATTCCATTCGATGATTACTCCATTCCATTCCATTAGATGATTCCGTTCGATTCCATTTGTTGCTTCCCTTCGATTTCTTTCAATGATGATTCCATTCTATTCCATTCGATGATACCATTCTATTCGATTCGAAAATGATTCCTTTCAATTCCATTCAATGATGACTCCATTTGATTCCATTTGATGATGACAGAATTCGGTTCAATTCGATGATGATTCCAATGCATTCCATTCGATTTCTCCATTCAATTGAATTCTTTGATGATGCCATTCGATTCCATTAGATCATAATTCCATTGGATTCCATTCGATGATGATTCCTTTCGATTCCATTCAATGATGATTCCATTCGACTCCATTCGATGATGATTCCATTTGATTTCATTTGATGATTCCATTCGATTCCATTCGATGATGATTCCATTCGTGTCCATTCAATTATTCCATTCGATTCCATACCATGATGATTCCATTTGAGTCCATTCAATGATTCCATTCAAGTCCATTCGATGTTTCCTTTTGATTCCATTCGATGATGATTCCATTCGAGTCCATTCAGTGATTCCATTTGATTCCATTCTATGATGATTCCATTCGGGTCCATTAGATCATTGCCTTTGATTTCATTCGATGATGATTCCATTCAAATCCATTCGATGATTGCATTCTATTTCATTCGATGATGATCCCGTTCAAGTCCATTCTATTATTCCATTCAATTCCATTTAATGAATCCATTGGTTTCAATTCGACGATGATTACATTGGGTTCCATTCGTTGATGATTCCATTCGATTTCATTCGATGATGATTCCATTCGACTTCATTCGATGATTCTATTTGATTCCATTCGATGATGATTCAATTCTATTCCATTGGATTATTCCAATTGATTCCATTGGATGATTCCATTCAATTCCATTTGATGATGATTCCATTCGATTCCATTCAATGATGATTCCATTTGACTCCATTCATTGATGATTCAATTCGATTCCATTCGGTGATGATTCCATTCGATTTCATTCAATGATTCTATTCGATTCCATTCACTGATGATTCAATTCTCTTCCATTGGATAATTCCATTCGATTCCATTCGATGATGATTCCATTCAATGTTATTTCCATTTGATTGCATTTGGTGATCATTCCAATCGTGTCCATTCGAAGATTCCATTAGATTCCATTCGATGATGTTTCCATTCGAGTCCATTCGATGATTACATTCAATTCCATTCTATGATGATTTCATTCGAAGACATTCTATGATTCCATCTGACTCCATTCAGTGATGATTCCATTCGAGTCCTTTCAATTATTCCATTAGATTAAATTCAATGATGATGCCATTCAAGTCCATTCGATGATTCCATTCGATTCCATTTGATGATGATTCCATTCGAGTCCAATCGATGATTCCATTCGATTCCATTAAGTGATGATTCCACTCGAGTGCATTCCATGATTCCATTCGACTCCATTCGATTATTCCCTTAGATTCCATTCATTGATGATTCTATTTTATTCCATTCGATGATTCCATTTGTTTCCATTTAAGGATGTTTCCTTTCGGGTCCATTCGATGATTCCATTTGATCGCATTCAATGATGATTCCATTCGTGTCCATTCGATGATTCCATTCGATTCTATTTAACGATGGTTCCATTCGAGTCCTTTCGATGATTCCATACTATTCCATTTGATGATGATTCCATTCGACTCCATTTGATGATTCAATTCGATTCCATTCGATGATTCCATTCGTTCCAATTTGATGATTCCCTTTGATTCCATTCGATGATGATTCCATTCGATTCCATTCGATGATGATCCCTTTGGATTCCATTTGATGACGATTCCACTCGTTTCCACTCCATGATGATTCCATTCGGTTTCAGGTGACGATGATTCCATTAGATTCTATTTGATGATTCCATGCTATTCCATTTGTTGAAAATTCCATTCGAATCCATTCGATGATTATTCCATTAGATTCCATTTGATGATTATTCCATTCAGTTTCATTTGATGAAACTATTTGATACCATTCGATGATGATTCCCTTCTATTCCATTCGATGATTCCATTCGATTTCATTCTATGATGATTCTAATCAATTCCATTTGATGATTCCATTTGATTGAATTTGATGATGATCCCATTCGTGTCCATTCGATGATTCCACTCGATTCCATTTTATGATGATCCCATTCATGTCCATTCGATGATTCCACTGGATTCCATTCAATGATGATTCCATACGAGTCCACTAGATGATTCCATTTGGTTCCATTTGATGATGATTCCTTACGATGCCATTCAAAGATTCCATTAGATTTCATTGGATGATGATTCCTTTCGTTTCCATTCAATGATTCCATTGGATGATGATTCCATTCGATGCCATTCGAGAATTCCATTCAATTCCATTTGAGGATTCCATTCTATTCCATTTGATGATGATTTCATACGAGTCCATTCAATGATTGCATTTGATTCCACTCAATGATGATTACATTTGAGTCCATTCGATGATTCCTTTTGATTTCATTCGATGATGATTCCATTCATTTCCATTCGATATTTCCATTCGATTCCATTCAACGATAATTCCATTCGAGTTTATTGGATGGTTCCATTCGATTCCATTCAATGATGATTCCATTAGAGTCCATTCGATGATTCCATTCAGTTCCATTTGATGATGATTCCATTTTATTCCATTCGAGGATTCCATTTGATTCCATTCGTTGACTCTTCCTTTCGATTCCATTCGATGATGGTTCCATTCGATTCCATTTGATGATAATTCCATTCGATTCCATTTGACAATGTTTCCATTCGAGTCCATTCGATGATAATTCTCTTCGCGTCTGTTCGATGGTGATTCCATTCGATTTCATTCGATGCTTATATTCGATTCCATTCGATGATGATTCCATCAGATTCCATTCGATGATTCCATTTGATTCCATTCAGTGATGATTGCATTCGATGGTGATTCCATCAGATTCCATTTGATGATTCCATTAGATTCCATTCAGTGATGATTCCATTGGATTCCATTCGATGTTGATTCCATTCAATTCGTTTCAATCAATTAGATTTCATTTGTTGAAGATTCCATTCGAGTCCATTCATTGACTCCATTAGATTCCATTCGATGATGATTCCATTGCAGTCCATTCGATAATTCCATTCGGTTCCATTTGATGATGATTCCATTGGATTCCATTCGATGATTCCATTTGATCCCATTCGTTGATGATTCCATTAGATTCCATTCGATGTTGATTCCATTCGACTCCATTTCATGATGATTCCATTCGATTTCATTCGATGATTCTATTTGTTTCCTTTCGATGATGATTCCCTTCTATTCCAATCAATGGTTCCATTCGATGCAATTCGATGAATACATTCAATTCCATTCAATGATGATTCCATTCCATTCCATTTGATGATTACATTTGATTGCATTCGATGAGGATTCCATTCGTGTCCATTAGATGATTCCATTCGATCCCATCTGATGATGATTCCATTCGATTCCATTTGATGATTCCATTCAATTCCATTCATTGATGATTCCATTAGATTCCATTCAATGATTCTATTCAATTCCATTCGATGATGATTCTATTCGATTCCATTCAATGATTCCATTTGAGTTCATTTGATGTTCCATTTGAGTCCATTCAATAACACCATTCGATTCCATTTGATAATGATTCCATTCGAGTCCATTTGATGATGATTCCATTCGAGTCCACTCGATGATTCCATTCAGTTCTATTTGATGATGATTCCATTGGATTCCTTTCAATGATTCCATTAAATTCCATTCGTTCATGATTCCATTAGATTCCATTTGATGATGGTTCCATTTGATTCCGTTCATTGATGATTCCATCAGATTCCATTCAGTGATGATTCCATTCGACTCCATTCGGTGATGATTCCATTCGATTTCATTCAATGGTTTCATTCGATTCCATTCAATGATAATTCCATTCCATTCCATTCAATGATTCCATTCAATTCCATACGATGATGATTCCATTATATCCGATTCGATGTTGAGCCATTTGATTCAATTCCATGATGATTCTATTTGATTCAATTCCATGATGTCTCCATTCGATTCTATTTGTTGATGATTCCATTCAATTCCATTCGAAGATGATTCCATTAGAGTCCATTCGATGATGATTCCTTTCAATTCCATTCGAAGATGATTCCATTTGATTTCATTCAATGCTTCTATCAGATTCCATTCGATGATGATTCCATCTGATTCCATTTGATGATTCCATTCAATTCCATTCAGTGATGATTCCAATCGATTCCATCCGATTTTGATTTCATTTGTTTCCATTCGATGATGATTGGATTCGTGTCCATTCGATGATTCCATTCGAGTGCATTTGATGATTCCATTGGACTCCATTTGATGATGATTCTATTCAATGACTCCATTCGATTCTATTCGATGATGATTCTGTTCAATTCCATTTGATGATTCCATTCGATTCCATTTGATGATGATTCTGTTCAATTCCATTTGATGATTCCATTTGATTACATTCGAGGATTCCATTCAATATCATTCGATGATCATTCCTTTCAATTCCATTCAATGATTTCATTCGATTCCAAAGATGATTCCATTCAAGGCCATTCAATGATTCCATTCGATTTCATTTGATGATGCTTCCATGCGATGCCATTAGATGTTTCCATTCGATTCCATTCAATGATGATTCTATTCAAGTCCATTCAATGATTCTATTCGATTCCACTCGCTGATAATTCCTTTTGATTCCATTCGATGTTTCCTTTTCATTCCATTAGATGATGATTCCATTCGAGTCCATTTGTTGATTGCTTTAGAGTCTATTCGATGATTCCATTCGATTCCATTCGATGATGATTCCATTCGAATCCATTCGATAATTCCATCTGATTCCATTTGATGATGACTGCATTCGGTTCCATTCGATGATGATTCGAACGGACTCCATTCGATGATGATTCGAACGGACTCCATTCGATGATGATTCGAAAGGACTCCATTCGATGACTCCATTCGATTACATTCATTGATGATTCCATTCGATTCCATTCAATGATTCCACTTGATTCCATTCGATGATGATTCCATTCGTGTCCATTCGATGATTCCATTTGATTCCATTCAATGATGATTCAATTCGAGTGCATTCGATGATTCCATTCAAGTCCATTTGATGTTTCCTTTCGATTCCACTCAACGTTGATTCCATTTGAGTCCATTCAATGATTAAATTTGAGTGCATTCCATGATTTCATTCGATTCCATTTGATGATCATTCTATTCGAGTCCATTTGATTATTCCATTTTATTTCATTCGATGATGATTGCATTCGATTCCAATCAATGATTCAATTCGAGTCCTTTCGATGATTCCATAACATTCCATTCGGTGGTTATTCCATTCGATTCCATTCGATGATGATTCCATTCGATTCCCTTCATTGATGATTCGATTAGATTCCATTTGATGATGATTCCATTTGACTCCATTCAATGATGATTCCATTTGATTCCCTTCGATGATTCCTTTTGATCCCACTCGATGATTCCCTTCGATTCCATTCGATCATCTTTCCATTCGATTCAATTTGATGATTCTGTTTGATTCCATTCGATGATGATTCCATTCGATCAAGAGTCCACTTGATTCCATTTGTTGATTACTCCGTTCTGTTCCATTTAATGATGATTTCATTCAGGTCCATTTGATGATGATTGCTTTAGATTCCATTCGATGATTCCATTTGATTACATTTGCTGATGATTCCATTCGATTCCATTCAATGATGATTCCATTCGATTCCATTTGATGATGGTTACATTCGATTCCATTTGATGATGATGGAATTCGATTCCATTCAATGATGATTCCATTCGATTCCATTCGATGATGATTCCATTCGCTTCCATTCAGTGATGATTCCATTTGATTCCATTCGATGATGATTCCTTTCGAATCCATTCAATGATAATTCCATTCAAGTCCATTGGATGATGCTGCCTTTCGATTCCTTCCAATGATGACTCCATTTGATTCCATTCGATGATGATTCCGTTTGATTCCATTCGATGATAATTCCATTCTATTCCCTTTGATGCTGATACCATTCCATTCCAGTCGATGATGATTCCATTCAATTCCATTCGATGATGATTCCATTCGCTTCCATACAATGATGATTCCATTTGATTCCATTCGATGATGATTCCTTTCGAGTACATTCGATGATGATTCCATTCAAGTCCATTGGATGATGATGCCTTTCGATTCCATTCGATGATGACTCCATTCGATTCCAATCGCTGATTATTTCGTTTGATTCCATTCGATGATAATTCCGTTCTATTCCATTCGATGATGTTTCCATTCCATTCCATTCCACTACATTCCATTACATCCGATTCCATTCCACTCCATTCCACTCCTCTCCACTCCACTCCATTCCACTCCATTGCATTCCATTCCATTCTATTCCACTGCTTTCCATTCCATTCCTTTCTTTCAAGAGTGTCTCACTCTGTCACCCATCCTGTAGCACAATGGCACAATCTCATCTCCCATTCCATTCCATTCCTCTCCATTCAATTCCATTTGATTCCATTCCATTCCATTCCATTCCATTCCATTCCATTCCATTCCATTCGAAAAAGAAAAAGAGTTGCAAAGTCATACTCACTTTTCTGCTCTTGTCAGACAATTAAGGGTTCTTTGAATACTTCAGCCCTAATAATTTTCTTTTTATCATACATATTGCAGTGCTTATCTAATTTTAAATATATTTTTGTTTCAAAACCCAGTTTCTTATTTGTTCTATCTGTATGTTTGCAATATATTTTACTCTCTGTTCATTCTTTGATTTCAGAACTTCAACCTTTCTGAAGCATATTTTCAGAGTTTCACTTTAGTTTCTTTAGTGGAATTCAGCTGGTGGTGTTTTGTTTTTTATCTCTAAATATGTTATTTAGCCATAGGTTGATGAATATTTTTCTTCGTTTAGAAATTCAGAATGGCATTATTATTCTTAACAAATAATATTGTTTATTTTACCTTTCATTTTTTTTCAGATTTCAATATGATTAAAAGTAATTTCATTTTTCTTGTGCTAATTGAAATATTTTTCCCTTCCTCGTTGTTTACTATTTCTCTAGGAGATACATAGGTGTAGGTTTATCTCCATTGTAGCTTGCTTAGCATGCATGGAATTTTTGAATATGCAGATTAGTGTCTTACAAAAGTCTAGGGAACTTTCAGCCAAAATAACATCACATATTGTCCCTTCCCAGTGCCCTTCTTCTATGAGAACACTCTCTAAACACATGCTACACTTTCTCACTGTATCTTTCATGTCTCTTCATCATTCTATCCACATTTTACATTTTTTAAAATTTTCTGTAATGCATACTGAAACATTTATGAACTCTCACCTTGGCCATGTCTAATCTGATGAGTTCATTTTTGAGTTTTTAATTTAAAATAACTATATTTTTATACAAACTAATTTTCAAATTTGCTACATGAATTTTTTAGTCTCCTAACAATATATTCATTTTTTTAAAAGTTTTTGAAAGCAAATGTACTTAATAGTCTAACAGTGATATTTCTACTAATGAACCTTTGTGGATCTGTTTGTACTCTTTTTCTGCTTCCCTTTCAAATGGTGGAATATCATTTCCTTGCATACTTAGATGCCTTTGAAAGACAAATATTTATTTTTCTCTGAAAATTATTTTTCTGCACTTTTGCTGATTAATAGAAAATTTGCCAAAGAGAATTTCAATTTTTTTGTGATTCTACTAAAGGCACCACCATTCTGGGACCACATTATGTTAATTCTTGGCCTAAAGGTGTTCGGACGTATGTTTGGACTGCACATTTAAACAATTTTTAAATTAGTTGCTGTAAATCATTAACGATTGAGTTTCTTTAAATCTGTCCAATCTCAAGTCATTTTTATTTGCCATTTCCAGGGAATGTGAAATGGGACTAATTTACCTGATTCTTCTTTATACTGAGGATAGAAATTTTGGTCCTAGCTTTAGGGAGGAGCTCCTGTGTGATGCCCTATCTTGGGAAAAACTATGTATTTCTTTACTGTCCTACGTGATGTATGACAGTAGGAATCTGCACTCATTTATTTTGCAACATGTCCGTAGGGCAAAATCAGTTTCAGCGTTTAGTTATATTTTGTCTGCTCCCTGCATTCCCATGGTTTTGACCTTATATTTTACTTTTATTTGTGAACATACCAGTGCTTCAAATTTTTTCCAGTAATATATTCAACTATAGTATGAGAAAGAGAAAAATTTTGATAAAACACAAATTTCATGTTTTCCTTCTCTAATTGGCTTTTACTTAAAAATACAGGTAAATTTTATTTGTGCTTTTTTTGCTATTTCTGTTTTGGTATTCTCTGTTTGTCTATGTCTTCTCCACATAGACACAATTAGGGAATTTTGTACACGTATGTGCCAACTGCTTTGATAGTGACAAAATGTATTTCTCGAACTCCTAGGTACAAAACTCAAGTATTCACAATTTAAATTCTTTTTTGCTCACTTCTATTATGTTTCCAGTCTCAATAGAAATTGATGCCAATCCAGAAATACAAGCATTATTCTAATACTTCTCACACATTACAGGTATATATTAAAATTTCTAGATCTCCTTAAATACTATCATTTTTCACTACTTGTATCTTAACTGTTAAGTTCAACATTTTCTATAATATTAATAAGTTGTGAAAATTTCCTTACTTTCTTATTTGTCCCAAGTTCAAGGTTTTGCAGTCTCTACCTCACCCTGTGAAGCATAAACATTGTACTATGCTGTACAAATATTACATAGTTCATGTGCTTAGAGATTGCACAATTTTTAATTGGTTGACAATAGCTAATGTTTTCTTCTTCATTTTCTATTTCCTGATTTTTCTTTATTTAGTATATGCTACATTATCATAAAAATAAGAACGTTTTACAAACTAAAGCAAAAGAAACCCTAGGAAAAAAATGCACAGATATATAAACATACATTTAGATGTACCATGTACACTTCTAATTTATTTAGACTTCTAATTGTAGTACAATTTTAATTAAAGTCTGTGTATTATCTGCCATTGTCTTAGGATTTTTTTATATAACAAATGGTGTAAATCAAAAAGCCTCAATGTCATTATAAACTATCTTGGCAGAGGTTGATGTCCAAGGAATAATTTCTCTCCCAAATTATGTCAGTCAGAATTTCACTCTACCATAATTCTTTTAATCAGTTTCAGAGGAATCATAAATTTCAAAATTGTTCAAGGTAGTTGTTGTAGTTCAAGTACATTTAGACAGGTGTAAAACTGCAGACAGACTGATACAAACATATTCTAATTGACACAAAAGTATATGGGACCTATTTTAAAATCTAGATTTTAAAATGTCGTGTCAACGTACACATGTTCCCCTTATGAAATAATTGCTTTTTATTCTCTGGATAGAATAATTTAAACTTTAAACCTTCAATTCGCTGTTAAAATATTACATAAGGATATGCTTATAAAAATAATTCACAACTAGCTTTTCTATTCAGAAATATATGTGAAAAATCATCAAGCATCTAATGGATTTCAAGGAGAAATGGGTTAGTAATTTATTCCATATATCTCAATTTTTCCTAGATTCAAGGCTTCCTTTAAAACAATTGTAGGCATTTAAGAAACCATGTAAACTAAAAAGAAGAAATTGTGACACTGCCGCTTAGGTTTTTTAAATCTTTGGACATGAATCAATATGCTTTTTAATTTTATCTTAATTAGACATTGTGAGTTCACTATCTTCCTGTCAGTATATCATCCAAGCTGATTGTCATAGATTACAAGTTCAACTATCAACTGTGTTCTGAGAGTCTAAAACAATAAATGAATGTATTTGTTTGGGCATTCTTAAAGCAGAAGTGAGGACACAGCAAAAGTGAGACAAGGAAGAGAGAACAAAATAAAACAGGAAAGATAGAAAAGCCAGTACCACACGTGTTAAGAGGCAAGTTCCTGTGTTAGATATCTGGGCTTAATTCTATGGGAAGCTATGTGGAACATGCCTCAGAATTACATCACTGAATCCAGGGAGATTCTTCTTAGTTACCTTCAACTTTTCTTCCCACTTCATGCCCAGTATCAAACTCCCGTGCTGCTAGAGAAAGTCCTCAGCTAGAAACAGCTGCAAATTCTGGAGATGAGATCCTGTAGAGTGTTAAGAATGGTTTTCTTCCCAGCAGCTACAGGTAAGGAATAGGGGCTGGGCTACTAATACATCTGCTACAAATCAATATACCCCTTATGCTCCTTTTGATGATCGACAATGTATTTAAAAATATTAGATGATGAAGAAGGGCTGCAGAAAGGAGGAAACAGAAACAAGCAGCACACCTCTTGGTTTATTTTTATTCATTTCATCAGTTTCAAGGAAAATGTGTTGGGAGTTCCTGGCATAGAGAATGTCACAAAGATATGTTTTCAATAGTGGTGCTATCCCTAGGGCAGAGAAGATCCAGAGAAAGCCCAAGTGGCTGCTGGAACAAAGTCAGACACCGTGCCACCTGTCCACACTCCTTGGCTCTGTCATCATGCTGAAGATTGCTTTAAAGGACTGGCTTCCCTCCCCCAAAAATTAAAAGAGCACAGACTGAGAAACTGAATGTGGGAGAGAGCAGTGGATTATGCTGTTCTCAGGGGTCACCTCAGGTTTGGAAGCATTCTTTCAAATTAACCCATCTCAGACCATCTGCAGAGAAGAAAGGTGGTACCTAACTTTTTTTCTTGTCAGCATTTTGTAGGGGTGTTTTATTGACTAAATATGTTCCCACAACCTAGTTTTTTGTAACTAACTAAATACGGTAGAGTTTTAAATTTTATCATCAAAATCTACAGATAATTTTTTATTAAAATAGGCTCCACATCTATGTCCTGCTTTTCTTCTTATTAATTACATTGCTGTATAAAAGAACAAGACTTCAGAATCAAGAAAATCTTGTCTCTTGGCATTGAATTTATACAAGGTGCTCTTTCTTTAATGCTGTCTCAAAGACATATTTTTACTCATTAAAAAGGAAGATTGGAATCTAGTTGTATGCACTGCTCCAACATATTAATAATTAAAATTAGGATGTAAATGTGGTCAAAGTTATAGAAAGACTTGAGATGTCATTTATATTGATTACTGTATAACACTCTACAAACAGAAATTGTGAAATAATAGTTTATATAAATATTTTGTAGCATTTCAAATATTTGAGTGCCTGAACTTTCTCCTCTTATATAGTTCAGATTATCAATTTGAAGACTTACTCCGATGGTTTAAAAGTTTTTAGTCTCATTTGAGTATTATATAAAAGCAATTTTCAGTTAAATGTGTTTCGCTTACATAAAACATTACAAATTAGTGAGTATTTAATTACATTTTCATGTTCCTGTAATGCCTTTAGAAGATTTTCATATTATTACCTATCAATATATGTATGCTTTGTCTAAGAAAAATCAATCATACACATCATTGAAATTGAAACTTTTTAAAAGTACTTATTAATTCTATTGAAAAACCACATCCATAGGAGCAATTACAATATAATATTGTGAACATGTAAATATATATCCTATGTCTATTTTATATATAAACATATGTGATTAAAAATATAGTTAAGAATTTTTAAACCTACTATTATAAAGTAAAAATTAGTTAAACTTCTGATGATTATTTGTTAATTAAGATAAAATTATTTTGATTTGGGTGATTTTAAATGAACAAAAATATTAAATTACATGACAAAAATTCTTTATAAAATGTTTACGATTTTTACATTGGTTTTATCACTTTATTCCACTATTTTATTTTAAGATGACCTGCCTTGTTTAAAACCCTGTATTCATCTTAATTAAATTAAATTCCATTTGTAAAAAGATTAACAAATAATTTGCTCTATTATACAGTGCGGTTATAAACTGAGTCAGTATCTCAAGATTTCATCCCCATTATCGTCATCCGTGGCCCTATTTGTTTGATAAATGTAGTGTCTTTTTCCATGCCTGTCACATCTCTATTGCTCATTTATTTTTCTCCTTGTCCCTTATAGGGAGCATTGCCTATCTCTAGATTAAGCAAAAGTTGCATCTTAAGAAAGCACAATAACCTGCTCAATCTCTCACACAGAGAAATGTTTGTTAAGTAATTAAAGTGTAGATGATGATACAAAGAGCTTGATTAAATAAGATGCCAAAGTACCCTTGTGATTCAGAATATGAATGGTATTTAATGCCTTTGAAATCAATAATTGCTGAGTGACATTAATTAATGCCAATATTTCAGAAGTTGTTCTGGTTAGTGAAATGTGTACAACATGTAAAAATTTCCGAAATCTGAAGGGCAACATTATTCTATAATTAAGAATTAAGAATTAAATCACATTAATTATTGGGGAGAAATAATTTTAAGAATTAATGACTGAGAAAGCGTTTTTATTTTTTATTTAGAAAATTATTTTGTGCATGAGCATTACTGCAAGTTTTGCAAGAAACATAAATTTATAGAAACAATTATGTGCACAAGATGAATTTAATAACATCTTAATATTTTCCACTCTTACAGTTGTATTTGGTAAATCTTTAAATGCCCAACATCTAAAGATCATAAACGAATGTTGGAAATCTTGTAGGTAAGGGTAAATATAAGGATGCATCCAATTACATTTACACACACATACAATTACATTTACACAAACATACATGCACACACGCTCACTGATACAGGTATGCATATATACACATGAATTTACCAATTGATTTTAACTAATATTTATAAGAACCTGTAGGATTGATATATATTGTTGAATCTGAAAAATATTTATTATATACATGTTTAAAATACACAAAGAAATAAATAGTAATTGCACTAGGCATGTGAAACTGTACTTAAATATAAGCTGTGATCATTACAAATTCTTACACTGAATAAATATTTTTATTTTTATAATATGTTTGATACATGTGTACATTTTTTAAAATGTATTATTTTTGTCATAGAGTCATGTCATGTATAATAATATTTCAGTCAAAGATGGATTACTTATGCAAAAGTGGTCCCATGAGATTATAATAGATATTTTTACATACTTTTCTATGTTTAAGTATGTTTACATACATAAACTCTAACCACTGTGTTCTTATTGCCTGCAGTATTCAGTATAGTAATGTATACACAGGTTTGTAGCCTAGGAGAGAGAGGTTATACCATATAACCTAAACGTGGTAGGCTGTACAAACTAGTTGTTTGTAATATTCTCTCTGACGTTTGCAAAATGATGAAATTGCCTATGGATGCATCTGTTAGAACGTATCCCTGTCATTCAGTGATGCGTGACTGTGCTAAAATGCTAAATCTAAGTTTCAGTGACCTCCATAAAATTGTTGTACTGCGAAATACAAATCTCTCACCTATGGCCTGAATATGTTTGCAAACTAAGCAGATCATGGGAAGGAGAATGTGCTGGCATCGCTGGGATGATTTTCTCACACTACATGAATAATATCTCCAGACTTTGTTTATATGAGCCACTTGCATAGAGTTAAAGTAAACATCTCTTTGCTGGGAAATTTATCAAATGGGAGTATGAAGTGTTTTTAAAAGATACTTGTTTGTTTGTAGATGGTAGGCCTACAGTGGCTCATGGCAATGGTTGAGGTTGCTAAGATTTGGTGGAAGAAGGCAAAATGAAATGGCCACTTATATGGTATATGGATCACTTGTTTCTGTTGAGTTACAGATTCAGCTGGCTATTTCTCCCAATGTTAGTTATTTGGAGAAAAGAAACATGATCGTAATTTTGGGGTAACAAATACAATATTTGATGAAAGCAAATTTATTGAGGGTTACACAAACTACAAGATAATTTAGGCTGCAAAGTCAACACGAGACTTCTGGCCCAAATTGTGCAGAGTTTGGGTCCAGCTGCAAAGTTCAAAGGAAGAGGACATATAAGATGATTCTCACTTTTGTCACCAACTGCCAGTTCAGGGGTTTCCCCAGAACACCCTCAGTTTCAAGAATTTACTAAAAAGACTCACAGAACTCATTGAATGCCATTGTACTCATGGTTTATAATAGAGATAGTGTAGAAATGAGGACCAATCAAAGGAAGAGACATATCACATAAGGTGGAATCTAGGAGGATTTTGAATGTTAAGTTTCCATTGTCTTCAGGACATATTACCTGTCATTGTTGTACAGCAATAAACATGGAGTACTACCAACCTGGGGAGCTCACCTGATGCTAAAAAGACACTATTTCGAAAATGAAAAGACAAAGGAAAGGAGGAGATAATATGACCTTCCACATTAAGACACTGGAAAGAATAGCAAACTAAACCTAAAGCAAGCAGAAGGAAGAAAATAAAAATTAGAGAAATTAATAATTTATAATAGTAATCATATTTGTTAGTATTGACTAATTGATATTAATTCTTGACTGACTTTTTTAAAAAGAGAAATATTCACTTCCCAATTTATTCTGTGGGGCCAGTGTTACCTTGATATAAAAATTAGTCTAAATAGCATAGAAAAATAAAACTACTATAAGTATAAATGCAAAATTCCTTAAAAAATACTAACAAATCAGATCTAGCAACATATAAAAGAATTATACACTATGACAAAGTGAAATTTATACTAGTAATCTCAGGTTGGTTTAACAGCCCAAAATCCATTAAGGTAATACATCTTACCCATAGAATAAGAAACAAGAATTGCATGATCATGTCGATAGATTCAGAAAAGACATTTAACAAAATCCAAATGCTTTAATGATTACAAATAAAAATAAAAACTCAATGAACCAGGAATAGAGAACTTTCTACACCAGATACATGGCACCTGTGAAAAGCCAACAGCAAGCATGCAACTTAATGGTAAAGGATGCTTTCCCACTGTGGTCAGAGATAAGAATAGGATATATACTTTGACCTCTTCTAGTCAACACTGTACTAAACATTTTATGCAGGGCAAATCGGCAAGTAAAGAAATAAGAGTCACCCATATTGAACAGGAAGAAATAAAACTTTATTTGCAAATAACATTCTTGTATATAGAAAATTTTAAAGAATCCATTGAACGATAGAACTAGTAAATTATTTCAGCAATATTACAGCATACAAGATAAATGTACAAAAATCAACTGCACACATCTACAATGAAAACCCCAAAATGAAATTAAGAAAACACTTCAATTTAAAATAGCATCAAAAAAAGAAATAATAATTAATTTGAAAATATGATACAAGATTTTACTCTGAAATATAAAAATTATTGTTTAAAGAATATCTAAATAGTTAGCAAACATCTTCCACCCATGAATTGGAAGATTTAATATTGTAGTACTTTACAAGTTGAAATACAGGTTTGACGTAATCCCTGCAAGTATCCCAACAGACTTCTGTCTAGAAACTGACAAGCTGATTCTAAAATACACATGGGATTGTAAGGGACTCAAAATTGCCAAAATAGTCTTGAAAAAAAGAAAACATATTAGGATAATTCACACCCCCGTCCTCCAAACCTTACGGCAAAGCATCAGTAATCAAGGCAACACAATACTGATGAAGGAAAAATATATAGATTGATGGAAGAGAATTGAGAGTCCATATATAAAACTACGTATCTATAGTCAATGGATTCTTAAAGTGGTGCCATGTGCAATTCAATGAGGAAGAGACAGTCTTTGAACAAACTGGGTCAACAACGTACACGTGGATCACCACTTGCAAAATAGTAAATTGGAACCCTTACCCCAAAGCATACAAAAATATTAACTCAAATGAATTAAAGACATACATGCAAGAGCTAGAATAAGGCATATGCGAAAATCTTCAGGATTTTGGATCTAGCAAAGAAATAGCTGTAACACCAAAAACATGAGCAACAAAATAAAAATTAGATATTTAAAATTTCTTAAAAATTAAAGACATTGGTGTTTCAAAGGACAACCAAGCAAGGCAAAAGGCAGCTCAAAAATTGTGAGAAAACATTTGAGAAACACATATCTATATGTCTGCTTATATATGTATCCTGAATATAGAAAAATTGTTTTAACTCAGTAACAAAAATCCCAACTCAAAACGGATAAATGATAGGATTAGATGTGTATCCCAAGAAGATACATTAACGGTCAATAATCCCATAAAAAGATACTCAACAGCATCACTCATCAGGCAACTACAAATCAAAACCACAGTTAGATACTCTATGGCTAGAACTGGCCACTTTGGAAAATAGGTTGATGGCTTCTAAATATATTAAACATAGAATTGTCATATGACCCAGAAATTTATTCCCAGGTATACCCCCAGAGTATTGGAAAGAGGTGTTCAAACACAAATTGTACACAAGTATTTTAACAGTAGTATTTAAAATAGCCAAAGGCTGAGCACAACTCAAATGTCAATAAAAATATTATTGGATAAACAAAATGTTATATCCATGAAATTGAATGTTATACAGTTATAAAAAGAAATAAAGTACCAATACGCATATGAACCTTGATAGCATTATGCCAACTGAAAGAAGCCAGGCACAAAAGGCCACCTATTGTATGATTCTATTTAGATGAAAATAGAATAGGAAGATCTACAGAGACAGAAAACAGATTTGTGGTTGCTTA
Source organism: Homo sapiens (assembly GCF_000001405.40). Classification (NCBI taxonomy): domain Eukaryota; kingdom Metazoa; phylum Chordata; class Mammalia; order Primates; family Hominidae; genus Homo; species Homo sapiens. The sequence continues at coordinate 183,995 of NT_187384.1, forward strand.
GGATTGAGTAGGGGATGAATACATAGGAGGTTAACAGCTAGAGAAGGTGGGGTTTCTTTTTGAAGTGATGAAAATGCTCTAAAATTCATTGTGATGATGGCTCCACTTATCTGTATATATACTAAAAGCCATTGACTTGCAGAAATTAATATGTGCATTCTACAGTATGTAAATTATATCTCAATTAATCCTTTCAAAAACACACAGAAGACTATGGGGTTTTGGACTGTTGCAGCTGGGAGGCAGTTTGAAATACTGAATAGGTCTCATCGAGAATGTGAGGTTTCAGTAAAGACTTGAGGAAGTTGAATGAACTGATCAATGGATATATGGAGGGCTATCTTTCCAAGCCAAGAAACTAACTAGTCTTCGTCATAAGACAGCAGCATGTTGGCATGTCTAGAGGACAGTGAGGTGGCCAGGAACACTGGTAAGATCAAAGGTGAAGATATAAAAGAATTTGGGTGGTTAACATGTGGCAGATCATGATGGGCTTGCAGACCATTGTAAGAATTGTGGCTTTTAGTGTAAATGAAATGGGGAGACAAATCATTACCCATTATCAACATTTTAATAAATTGGGCCCATGAACCAAATACAATGAGATTAAATCAATTAGTGATAATATGCAAATTTGTATTAAAATTACAAGAATTACTTGCGCATTTGAGAACAGGAGAGTCATGATTTTTATCAGCAATAATAAACATTATCAATTTTAATTGTGATCAGCTAGTTGAGATTAATTGCAATACATCATGCTTTATAATGTGACTGTCAAAAGGAAAATATGATTGTAATCTTACACTACATCTATCAATGTCTTTGATTCATAAGACTATAGAGTAAGCCCCTAGTTTTCAAAGCCAACTTATGAGGCAGTGACATCTTATGCAAGTTTGCTGCTTTCTGCCACAGTGGTCCTTCGTCAGCTGGCACAAATTGTTTTACAAACGCCACTAGGTCTAAAAACAGTTTGGATCACAATGAACACAGAAACACCCTCTTCCCTTCAGAAATACCCATGAATTACTTCCAATACAGAATGAAAAACTGACAAAGAAAATATGTTGATTGTAAAAATGCCAATTAGCTTGCATCTACATGAAAGAAAAATGCCATTTTTATTACCTTAGATCATTGTTTTACATGAGTTTTGGTATAGCACAATGTTGAACCAAGGGCGAAGAGAGATGAGTTAATGAAGTCTTAAGATATCAAGAATTTAAAAGAAAAGGAAGGTCACATTTGAAGGTTAGTAACATAGCATTCATCTTCTGTTGTCACCTTTTCCGTCATTCCCTGTATGCCTGATGGACAGCTACCAATTAATCTTTATGAAGTGAGCTTAATTTCTAGCCAGACTGAGCTTACGTTTTAGCAGGAAGCATTTTTTGGGAAATGTTTATGTTAGAGTTTGCCCTTCTTGACAAGGTGAGACATAAATGTCTACTTTATAGACATGAATTAAGATGGGAAGATATTTGGGGGAAACATTTACTCAAACGCTAAATAATAAAGGCACACAAAGGGCAAATTATACTAGATTTTTTCCCACTTGTTTTCTACGTCTCACGCAATTCACCTTGATTCCCTTCAGTTTCTGTTTAATGTAGAACGTGGCATTTTCATTACTTTAAGCTTCTAGCACAATGAAAGAATTTCTCTTTTTCATGAACTGCATCATAAATGAAAGGGAGGAAGAGTGTCCTATATCATACTTATTGTTCAACAAAACACTGCTCCACGGCTTAAATTCAGTTTAAAAAAGAGAATTTATTGAACATCTAGCACATACATAAAAGGCAGTAAAGACAAATGAGAAGGGGGCAGGTTATTGAAGTATACAGACTTTAATGCTGAGTTTTGTATCTTAGGAAGTTACTCCACCTTACAGAGGCCCAATTTCCCCTGATTTAGGAAGGCGATGCTAGTGGGTATTGTCTAGGTGTAAGTATAAAAATGTTGTATTTAACAGAATCCCACAAGCTTGGTATAAGGCAGAAAATAAATAGATGTGACATGAGTAAGTAGTTTATTACATTTGTATGCTACCTGCAGACTAGAGGAAGCAAGAAACACAGCCACTATGGTTGATTAGCATTATATTCTAATTTGGAATAAAAATAGAAAAGAGAAAAATAGAAAGCTATGCATAAACACATGCATTAAAATGAATTTTATGTGGACTCTTTCATGAAAATGTTCCTAAGGTATTTTATTTTTTTATTGTGATAAAATACACATAACATAAAATGTACTCTGTTAACCATTTTAAGTGTACAGTTCAGTGGCACTAAATACAGTCATAACATTGTGCAGCCATCCCTACCATCCATCTCCATAACTCGTTTCATCTTCTGAAACTGAAACTCTATACCCATTAAACAATACTTCCCCATTTCTTCCTCCCCCCAGCTTCTGGCAACCATCATTGTACTATCTCTGTGATTCTGTCCACTTTAAGTCCCTTATACAAATGGAATTATACTGTATTTGTCCTTCACTGACTAACTTATTTCACTTGGCATAATATCCTCAAGTTTCATCCAAGTTGCAACATATGTCAGAATATTTCCCTCATGTTTAAGGCTGAATAATTTTCCATTGCATGTATATATCATATTGTGCTTATCCATTCATCTGTTGTTGGACACTTCACTTGCTTCTACGTTTTAGCTATTGCCAATAATGCTGCTGCAAACATGGATGTGCAAATACTTTTTCAAGACTCTGCTTTCAATTCTTTTGCTATCCTGAGATGTGGCGCTGCTGAGTCATATGGCAATATCATTTTGATGTTTTGAGGAACTACCATACTCTTTTCCACAGCAAACATAGGGTTTGGCATTCCCTCCAAAACTGCAAAAGGAATCGCCACATGCTTGCCTGTGGATTGTATTCACAAGTCTTGTGGCTCTCTCTACATCCCGGCCACCAGGTGTTATTTCCTGTTTATATATATGACATCAAAGGTGCAGGAAGTAATGAACTTAATTGGAAGGATAAACATGTAGAAAATTAGAGGTAAATATTGACTGCATAAAACCATAAGAATAAGAATTTTGGATGATCTATCTATTATATACCTATTTATCTAACATCTATCTGTTCCTCCATCTGTAATTAAAATATATTACAGTTAGAGAACAGAGGAAAAAGTAGGAATACATGAATTTAAATTTTAATTCTTCTTAGATTGTCTCACAGCATCATTATATGATAGAAAATTTATAGGTCAATGTCTGTTAACTATAAATGTAACATTCTTAAAGTATTCAAATACATTGAATTACAGCATGAATAATATAATACAATCCAGTCAAGTTTATTTTTTCCAGGAACACAAAAATAGAGATTTCATTTGCAATTCAAAAAAAACAGAAATTGATACATATGATTGATATATATACACATTTAATGTATTTTTTAATATACATTTTTAAAAAATAGAAATTTTTCTAGGACAAATACTTAAAATATCACTGAAAATAGTGTTATTAGCTAATAACTTCCTAATAACTCTGGTATTACATAAGAAACCAAAATTAAAATTTCAGGTAAACTTAGAAACACAAAATTTTTAAAATATTATTCTGTTCTCCATATGTTCATATTTAATATTATTTCTTGTTTTCATTCTTCTTCAGTGTTGCTCTACTGAAATATAACATACAATACTAACTTTTGATTTCTGTTCTTATTACTCAAAATTCTATACATTTTCTCATGCTCTTAATTTAGTTATGCTACTTTCCTGTATTCTTGGAATTTTCACATTTGTGTTCACTCTCTTTTGAGTTCCCATAGTATCAAATAAACTTTTTTCCCTCTTTCTGATTTGAAGGTTCATCTTCTCATAATTATTTTGTCCACTCAGTTTCCTTTCATTCTCAGTTAAGTGCCTCTCATCTGGCTTCTTTTCATTCATAACGTTTCCTTTCATCTTAAGCCAGTCTTTTATTTATATTTTGATACTGTTTTGTGGAGGACATGCTTCCCTGAATTTTATGGAAGAGGCCAAAAGGTTTGTTCAAGTTTTTACCTGATACATTGGATTAAATTATCAAATGTACACACTCTTACTTTAAGTCTAGGAGTGACTGTCTATTCTTGATTTTGTATAGTATTATTTTTCTTAACATCCAAGTCCATCTTCATCTATTTGTATGTGATCAATAAAAATATATTTGTCCAGAACCCTGCTTTGGCGGAGTTACTTCTTTCTAAATAGTAGAGGTATCAGTTGAGACATGAGCTGGGTTCTGGGTCAGTTTAGAGTGCTGGGCGACATTCCTCCTTTTGGTCTGTATGACTGAATGAATGCAGTTCTTGCTGTCTCACTCCTCTCCTTAACACATTGAGCCATTGTAGCAGATGAGAAGGAATAATCCTGATCTGCCATTCAGGTGGAACACATGTTCTCTCCAACCACACCCATAGGTTGTACTCACACTCGGCCAGAAGGTATCCTGTCAATGATATGGAGATGTATCTATATATCTAGATAGATATCTACTTTGGTTTATGCTCTCTGGTTGCCCGTAAATTATCTCCTTAAAGTGAATATCAAAAGAGAGCTTGGTGATGGCAGTGTTATAAAATCCTCAAAATGCAGCACCCACACGCAGAGGAATTTGTAGATTCTGGCATTCTAATTCAGATATCAAACTATATAAAAGGGGAATTGGTCATTGAGGGTTGCTAGGCTCTTTGTTGAGCATATTTGCTCTTTTCATGACTTTGACATTATTTTAAAAATCTAACCTTTTTCTCAGTATGCTGCAAGATGATTTGATTTTAATGCACAAGCACTAATTCTCCCCTAGGATTTGTACAATATATTTGCTCTGACAAGCCATAGCCAGCAACTCACTTCACAGCAATTTATAGCATTTCCACGATAAGTTGAATTATTTTTAACTAGACTCTCTTTGCCTTAATAAAAATATGAAGAAGCAATCTACTTGTTCTAATTAGGTACAAAAGTTGGCAATCTCTCTCCTGGAAAGAATAATAAAACTTTTCAACAGCCTAATATGCATCTATAGACACACACAAACACACGCAAGCACTATTCATAAAACTTAAAGCACATTCTGTTCTATGACTTCATTTGTCTAGCACAAAATAAAACGATCTCAGTATATGTCAAGTACCAATTTTTTCGTATGGCCAATTATAGATATTTTATTTTTTAAAGATTAGAGTGTTCTTGAAGCTCTATTTCTTTGTCAATGAACTAAATATTTGCAAATACGTAGGGTTGCCCACATAAGAACATTATTAACATCAAAATAGAAAGCTGGTGGTAGAAATAATGATTGGGAACACAGAGTCTCTTCTCAATGTTCTAGTTCTGTCATACCATAACTTTGTGATCTCAGGAAATATCTCTCCATGTTGTCATCTCTATCTATAGTTCTGTCATTTTTCAATAAGAGCTTTTTGCTTAATGTTGAAGTACTAGTTAATATAACCATTATTTTGAGCTTCATGTAAATCAAGAATACATGGACTCCACTTGCAAAACATTGAAAATGTAGTTAGGGATTGGGGCATAAATCAACATTTTAAAATGTGTAAAGACAATGAGTAAGCAACAAAGTGTCCAATTTTTTAGGGGAAAGTTGCATATGTCAGGAAAATGCAGGATTATGTAACAGAGAATTTGAATGATAACTGGCCAATTGGTGTCATTTACAATTGCAAGTCATACAAATGAAGTTTGCTTTTTTAAAGAGGAAAGGAGTTATTTAGAATGGGTCAACCTATTGGGGAAGCAATGTAGTTAGAGACAATGCCCAAAACCATGTGAGCAAATGCTCTGTAGAGCGCACCCCTGCAATGCTGCCATTGTGAGGCCAAGTCTCTCCTTGTCTTGGTACTGAGCCCTCCATTCTGCTTCCATCATTGCCACTGTAGCTGCCATAAAATGATCCCTCAACCACCGCTGCCCAGGAACAAAGAAAGAATTCTGTCCTTCCGCGCTCTCAGATCAATTTCCAACATCAGGTGAGACTTTGATGGGCACTATTCAGTTCCCATATCCATGAAATAGATGCAGAAAAACATAGAAATTGCCTATGTGTTTCCCAATAAGACACATATGGAAGCCTGTTTTCCCACAACAGGAAGGGGTTTGCACGATGGGTGTTCAAAGGAACAATAGTCCCTGTAAACCATACTTTGCCCATATGAAGAAAAGCAATAAGGATTATTTAGTAAATAGACATGGAAACTCATCCAGGGTTGGCTGATGAGAAGCTGGTTAGCAAGGGGTCTGCCTTCAGTTAGGACAAGGTCTGTGCTTCCCACGGGTTCTCTCCACAGCAGGAGGGATGCAAACTTCCCTTTCCTCCCCTGCACCTACCCTCCAATGGCCCAGAGGTCTTCAGGTGCTAGAATTTCTCAATTAATGCTGCACAAAATAACAGACAGCCTTGACTGTCACAGTCTGTTCTCATGAAGCTAGTCTCTGCTCACTACATAAAACAGGAGAGTAAGAACAAGGGTGTTTAATGCTACCCTAGCTCAAACATGTTTCTCTCTGTAGGATGCCAAGAACCTGGAAACCAGTGCATCTGCTGCTTTCCCTTGTCGGATTCTAGCACAGACAAAAGAGGCAAGGGGCATTTCTTCAGAGGCTTTGAGCTTCACTACACAATGACAGAGGCTCTACATGCACCCTCTTTATATATTTCTATCTTGAAAAAAAATTTTTATATAATATTAATAATGTATATTTTTATATAATAAACACATATGTTTATTTTATAGATAGATATAGATATACATAGATAAAGATCTCTAGTCAGCCTTTTTTAAGGCTGGGCTGATCGCGGTGCCTCAAACTATAATCCCAGCACTTTCGGAAGCCAAGGTGGCCAGATCACTTGAGTCCAGGAGTTGGAGATCAGCCAGGGCAACATGGTGAAACCCCATCTTTACAAAAATTAGCTAGTATGGTGTCATGCACCTGCATTCCCTGCTACTCAGGAAGCTGAGGTGGGAGAATCGCTTGAGCACAGTATATGAAGGCTTCAGTGAGCCCTAATCACATAACTGCACTCCATCTTGGGTGACAAAGTGAGACCCTCTCTCAAATAAAATAAAATAAAATAAAAAGGCTACCATCATACTCCCAGATAAGTGTGTCAGGTATATTTGCAGCTATCTTTCCTATATTCTATTTGGTAAAAAAAAATTGCAATGAACTCTTCTCATTCTATATTTTTGTATTAATTAGACATTTGAAGTTTATAGCAGAAGAGCTATAATCATGTTTGGTGTGTGTATTCTATAGACAAGATAGTGCAAACAGATATCAGTGCTTTTTAAAAGTATATAAGGTTATGAGGGGAGGAGCCAAGATGGCTGAATAGGTACAGCTCCGGTCTACAGCTCCCAGCATGGGCGACGCAGAAGACGGGTGATTTCTGCATTTCCATCTGAGGTACCGGGTTTATCTCTCTAGGGAGTGCCAGACAGTGGGCGCAGGTCAGTGGGTGCGCGCACCGTGCGCGAGCTGAAGCAGGGCGAGGCATTGCCTCACTTGGGAAGTGCAAGGGGTCAGGGAGTTCCCTTTCCAAGTCAAAGAAAGGGGTGATGGACGCACCTGGAAAATTGGGTCACTCCCACCTGAATATTGCTCTTTTCAGACCGGCTTAAAAAACGGCCCACCAAGAGATTATATCCTGCAACTGGCTCGGAGGGACCTACGCCCACGTAGTCTCACTGATTGCTAGCACAGCAGTCTGAGATCAAACTGCAAGGCGGCAACGAGGCTGGGGAGGGGCGCCCGCCATTGCCCAGGCTTGCTTAGGTAAACAAAGCAGCCGGGAAGCACCAACTGGGTGGAGCCCACCACAGCTCAAGGAGGCCTGCCTGCCTCTGTAGGCTCCACCTCTGGGGGGAGGGCACAGACAAACAAAAAGACAGCAGTAACCTCTGCAGACTTAAATGTCCCTGTCTGATAGCTTTGAAGAGAGCAGTGGTTCTCCCAGCACGCAGCTGGAGATCTGAGAACGGGCAGACTGCCTCCTCAAGTGGGTCCCTGACCCCTGAACCCTGAGCAGCCTAACTGGGAGGCACCCTCCTGCAGGGGCACACTGACACCTCTCATGGCAGGGTATTCCAACAGACCTGCAGCTGAGGGTCCTGTCTGTTAGAAGGAAAACTAACAAACAGAAAGGACACCCACACCAAAAACCCATCTGTACATCACCATCATCAAAGACCAAAAGTAGATAAAACCACAAAGATGGGGAAAAAACAGAACAGAAAAACCGGAAACTCTAAAACACAGAGCGCCTCTCCTCCTCGAAAGGAACGCAGTTCCTCACCAGCAACGGAACAAAGCTGGATGGAGAATGACTTTGACGAGCTGAGAGAAGAAGGCTTCAGATGACCAAATTACCCTGAGCTACGGGAGGACATTCAAACCAAAGGCAAAGAAGTTGAAAACTTTAAAAAAATTTAGAAGAATATATAACTAGAATAACCAATACAGAGAAGAGCTTAAAGGAGCTGATGGAGCTGAAAACCAAGGCTCGAGAGCTATGTGAAGAATGCAGAAGCCTCAGGAGCCAATGCGATCAACTGCAAGAAAGGGTATCAGCAATGGAAGATGAAATGAATGAAATGAAGTGAGAAGGGAAGTTTAGAGAAAACAGAATAAAAAGAAATGAGCAAAGCCTCCATGAAATATGGGACTATGTGAAAAGACCAAATCTACGGCTGATTGGTGTACCTGAAAGTGATGGGGAGAATGGAACCAAGTTGGAAAACACTCTGCAGGATATTATCCAGGAGAACTTCCCCAATCTAGCAAGGAAGGCCAACGTTCAGATTCAGGAAATTCAGAGAACGCCACAAAGATACTCCTCGAGAAGAGCAACTCCAAGACACATAATTGTCAGATTCGCCAAAGTTGAAGTGAAGGAAGAAATGTTAAGGGCAGCCAGAGAGAATGGTCGGGTTACCCTCAAAGGGAAGCCCATCAGACTAACAGCGGATCTCTCAGCAGAAACCCTACAAGCCAGAAGAGAGTGGGGGCCAATATTCAACATTCTTAAAGAAAAGAATTTTCAACCCAGAATTTCAAATCCAGCCAAACTAAGCTTCATAAGTGAAGGAGAAATAAAATACTTTACACACAAGCAAATGCTGAGAGATTTTGTCACCATCAGGCCTGCCCTAAAAGAGCTCCTGAAGGAAGCGCTAAACATGGAAAGGAACAACAGGTACCAGCCAATGCAAAATCATGCCAAAATGTAAAGACCATCGAGACTAGGAAGAAACGGCATCAACTAATGAGCAAAATCACCAGCTAACATCATAATGACAGGATCAAATTCACACATAACAATATTAACTTTAAATGTAAATGGACTAAATGCTCCAATTAAAATACACAGACTGGCAAATTGGATAAAGAGTCAAGACCCATCATTGTGCTGTATTCAGGAAACCCATCTCACGTGCAGAGACACACATAGGCTCAAAATAAAAGGATGGAGGAAGATCTACCAAGCGAATGGAAAACAAAAAAAGGCAGGGGTTGCAATCCTAGTCTCTGATAAAACAGACTTTAAACCAACAAAGATCAAAAGAGACAAAGAAGGCCATTACATAATGGTAAAGGGATCAATTCAACAAGAAGAGCTAACTGTCTTAAATATATATGCACCCAATACAGGAGCACCCAGATTCATAAAGCAAGTCATGAGTGACCTACAAAGAGACTTAGACTCCCACACATTAATAATGGGAGACTTTAACACCCCACTGTCAACATTAGACAGATCAACGAGACAGAAAGTTAGCAAGGACACCCAGGAATTGAACTCAGCTCTGCACCAAGTGGAGCTAATAGACATCTACAGAACTCTCCACCCCAAATCAATAGAATATACATTTTTTTCTGCACCACACCACACTTATTCCAAAATTGACCACATACTTGGAAGTAAAGCTCTCCTCAGCAAATGTAAAAGAACAGAGATTATAACAAACTATCTCTCATACCACAGTGCAATCAAACTAGAACTCAGGATTAAGAATCTCACTCAAAACCGCTCAACTACATGGAAATTGAACAACCTGCTCCTGAATGACTACTGGATGCATAACGAAATGAAGGCAGAAATAAAGATGTTCCTTGAAACCAACGAGAACAAAGACACAACATACCAGAATCTCTGGGACGCATTCAAAGCAGTGTGCAGAGGGAAATTTATAGCACTAAATGCCCACAAGAGAAAGCAGGAAAGATCCAAAATTGACACCCTAACATCACAATTAAAAGAACTAGAAAAGCAAGAGCAAACACATTCAAAAGCTAGCAGAAGGCAAGAAATAACTAAAATCAGAGCAGAGCTGAAGGAAATAGAGACACAAAAAACCCTTCAAAAAATTAATGAATCCAGGAGCTGCTTTTTTGAAAGGATCAACAAAATTGATAGGCTGCTAGCAAGACTAATAAAGAAAAAAAGAGAGAAGAGTCAAATAGACACAATAAAAAATGATAAAGTGGATATCACCACTGATCCCACAGAAATACAAACTACCATCAGAGAATACTACAAACACCTCTACGCAAATAAACTAGAAAATCTAGAAGAAATGGATAAATTCCTTGACACATACACTCTCCCAAGACTAAACCAGGAAGAAGTTGAATCTCTGAATAGACCAACAACAGGAGCTGAAATTGTGGCAATAATCAATAGTTTACCAACCAAAAAGAGTCCAGGACCAGATGGATTCACAGCCGAATTCTACCAGAGGTACAAGAAGGAACAGGTACCATTCCTTTTGAAACTATTCCAATCAACAGAAAAAGAGAGAATCCTCCCTAACTCACTTTATGAGGCCAGCATCATTCTGATACCAAAGCCAGGCAGAGACACAACCAAAAAAGAGAATTTTAGACCAATATCATTCATGAACATTGATGCAAAAATCCTCAATAAAATACTGGCAAAAGAATCCAGCAGCACATCAAAAAGCTTATCCACCATGATCAAGTGGGCTTCATCCCTGGGATGCAAGGCTGATTCAATATACGCAAATCAATAAATGTAATCCAGCATATAAACAGAGCCAAAGACAAAAACCACATGATTATCTCAATAGATGCAGAAAAATCCTTTGACAAATTTCAACAACCCTTCATGCTAAAAACTCTCAATAAATTAGGTATTGATGGGACGTATTTCAAAATAATAAGAGCTATCTATGACAAACCCACAGCTAATATCATACTGAATGAATGGTCAAAAACTGGAAGCATTCCCTTTGAAAACTGGCACAAGACAGGGATGCCCTCTCACCACTCCTATTCAACATAGTGTTGGAAGTTCTGGCCAGGGCAATTAGGCAGGAGAAGGAAATAAAGGGTATTGAATTAGGAAAAGAGGAAGTCAAATTGTCCCTGTTTGCAGACGACATGATTGTATATCTAGAAAACCCCATTGTCTCAGCCCAAAATCTCCTTAAGCTGATAAACAACTTCAGCAAAGTCTCAGGATATAAAATCAATGTACAAAAATCACAAGCATTCTTGTACACCAACAACAGACAAACAGAGAGCCAAATCATGAGTGAACTCCCATTCACAATTGCTTCAAAGAGAATAAAATACCTAGGAATCCAACTTACAAGGGATGTGAAGGACCTCTTCAAGGAGAACTATAAACCACTGCTCAAGGAAATAAAAGAGGGTACAAACAAAGGAAGAACATTCCAAGCTCATGGGTAGGAAGAATCAATATCGTGAAAATGGCCATACTGCCCAAGGTAATTTACAGATTCAATGCCATCCCCGTAAAGCTACCAATGACTTTCTTCACAAAATTGGAAAAAACTACTTTAAAGTTCATATGGAACCAAAAAAGAGCCCACATCGCCAAGGCAATCCTAAGCCAAAAGAACAAAGCTGGAGGCATCGCAGTACCTGACTTCAAACTATACTACAAGGCTGCAGTAACCAAAAGAGCATGGTACTGGTACCAAAACAGAGATATAGATCAATGGAACAGAACAGAGCCCTCAGAAATAACGCCGCATATCTACAACTATCTGATCTTTGACAAATCTGAGAAAAACAAGCAATGGGGAAAGGATTCCCTATTTAATAAATGGTTCTGGGAAAACTGGCTAGCCATATGTAGAAAGCTGAAACTGGCTCCCTTCCTTACACCTTATACAAAAATCAATTCAAGATGGATTAAAGACTTAAATGTTAGACCTAAAACCATCAAAACCCTAGAAAAAAATCCTAGGCATTACCATTCAGGACATAGGCATGGGCAAGGACTTCATGTCCAAAACACCAAAAGCAATGGCAACAAAATTCAAAATTGACAAATGGGCTCTAATTAAACTAAAGAGCTTCTGCACAGCAAAAGAAACTACCATCAGAGTGAACAGGCAACCTACAAAATGGGAGAATATTTTCACAACCTACTCATCTGACAAAGGGCTAATATCCAGTATCTACAAAGAACTCAAACAAAATTACAAGAAAAAAACAAACAACCCCATCGAAAAGTGAGGGAAGGACATGAACAGACACTTCTCAAAAGAAGACATTTATGCAGCCAAAAAACACATGAAAAAATGCTCATCATCACTGGCCATCAGAGAAATGCAAATCAAAACCACAGTGAGATACCATCTCACACCAGTTAGAATGGCAATCATTAAAAAGTCAGGAAACAACAGATGCTGGAGAGGATGTGGAGAAATAGGTACACTTTTACACTGTTGGTGGGACTGTAAGCTAGTTCAACCATTGTGGAAGTCAGTGTGGCGATTCCTCAGGGATCTAGAACTAGAAATACCATTTGACCCAGCCATCCCATTACTGGGTATATACCCAAAGGACTATAAATCATGCTGCTATAAAGACACATGCACACGTATGTTTATTGTGGCATTATTCACAATAGCAAAGACTTGGAGCCAACCCAAATGTCCAACAATGATAGACTGGATTAAGAAAATGTGTCACATATACACCATGGAATACTATGCAGCCATAAAAATTGATGAGTTCATGTCCTTTGTAGGGACATGGATGAAACTGGAAATCATCATTCTCAGTAAACTATCACAAGAACAAAAAACCAAACACCGCATATTCTCACTCATAGGTGGGAATTGAACAATGAGATCACATGGACACCAGAAGGGGAATATCACACTCTGGGGACTGTGGTGGGGTGGGGGGATGGGGGAGGGATAGCATTGGGAGATATACCCAATGCCAGATGACGAGTTAGTGGGTGCAGCGCACCAGCATGGCACATGTATACATATGTAACCAACCTGCACAATGTGCACACGTACCCTAAAACTTAAAGTATAATAAAAAAATAAAATAAAAATAAAATAAAAAAAAATAAAAAAGTAAATAGAGTAGAAAATATTCATTTCAGGAATTAAGTGTAAGTATTGTTTCAGAATTTTTAAAATTAGTTATGTACACATATATTTATGTGTGTGCTGGGCAATAATATAAAATGTATGTCTTAATGTAGAATAAAAATGTTTGACAGCTAAAAAAAAAATTAAAAGTATATAAGATTATTAGAAATATTTTAAACTACCTATAGGTATATATGTATGTAATTGAACTATCAAATACAAGTAAGATCTTTTCCTTAGCGTGTGAAATCCACTCAATTTATTAAAATATTTTCTAATGTCTATTACAATATTTCTTAATTAGTTAACATAAGAGGAGTTTTAAGACATTTATTTATATTTACTTACTAGATTCAAACTCGATTCCACTATTTTCAGAAATCATACTCTGAGACAAGTCTTTTTTTATCTATGTTTCTGCCTATATTAAAAGACAGATATGTCAATTTTGCTAATCATGCTGTTCCAAACCTCTCCATCCTGATTATTTTTCGGTTTGTTCTACCAGTCACTCAGAGACTTACTTATATTCAAATTTCTCTCTAGGTTTAACATTTGTGTATGTCTTCTTGTGGTTTTGTCCATTTTTGCTGTATATATTTTATTGACATATATCACACATACAGAAAAGTACAATGATTAAATATGGATAGCTTGATTAATGAAACACATGTATTTGCTTATAACCATGTATGAAAATAGACAATTACTGAAAAGTGATACTTCTCCTGCCCCTTTCCAAACACTAACCCTCATCCTCAATAGTAACAGATTTTTTTTTATCATACAGTAATTTGGTCTATTTTCAAATTTTTATTAAATAAATCAGAGTATCTACTCTATGTTTCTTTCATTGTTGTTATTTTGCTTATAGTATTTATCTGCTAATGGACATGGTAGATTAAAGACGGCTACATACACATTTGTTAATTAATAGATTTTTTGAGCACTTTGTGGCTCATGCCTCTAATCCCATCACTTTTGGAGGCTGAGGTGCGTGGATCATGAGGTCAGGAGATCGAGACCATCCTGGCCAACGTGGTAAAACCCCTTCTCTACTAAAATACAAAAAATTAGCTGATAGACTAACATCAAGATAACATCTGTGTTCTTAGCTGCACTGAGTCAAGCCTACTTACATCTTTGTCTTCCGCTGCACTTTTCCTTCCACATCACACTCCAGGAATGCCAAGCTGTGCTGGCCTTCACCCCATTTCCACTGTTTTGTCCCGGCCACAGCAGGTTTTTGTGGCTTTTTGCCCCCGCCACCGCTGCTTTCTGCCCCCGCCACCGCGGCTTTTTGTCACCCCCGCCGCGGCTGTTTGCCCCCACCGCTGCGGATTTTTGCCGCCGCCGCTGTTTGCCCCTGCTGCCAGGGCTTGTTGCCCCCGTCGCTCTGGCTTTTACCCCCATCGCCGCTGCTTTTTGCCCCCACCGCCGCAGCTTTTTGCCGCCGCGGCTTGTTGCCCCCGCTGCCCCTGCTTTTTGCCCCTGCCGCCGCGGCTTTTTCCCCTGCGGCTGCAGCTTTTTGCCCCCACCGCCGCAGCTATCTGCCCCCGTCGCCACAGCTTTTTGCCGCTGTGGCTTTTTGACCCACCGCCGCGGCTTTTGGTCCCCGCCGCCGAGGCTTTTTGCCGCCCCTGCTTTTTGCCCCGCCGCCGCGGCTTTCTGCCCCCGCCTCCGCCGCTTTTTGCCGCTATGGCTTTTTACCCCCGAAGCCACGGTTTTTGCCGTTGCCGCCGCAGATTTTTGCAACTTTTTGCCCCCGCCGCCGCGGCTTTTTGCCACCCCCACCCCGCGACTTTTTCCGCCGCGGATTTTGGCCCCCGCCGCCGCGGCTTCTTGCGGCTTTTGGCCCCCGCCACCGCGGTTTTTGCTCCCCCCGCCGCGGGTTTTGGCCGCCGGTGCTTTTTGCGCCCGCCGCCGCGGGTTTTGCCAACGCGGCTTTTTGCTTCTCGCCGCCTCCGCTTTTTGTCTCCGCCGCTGCGACTTTTTGCGCCCCGCCGCCGCGGCTTTTTGCCGCCCCTGCTTTTTCCCCCGCCGCCGCGGCTTTCTGCCCCCGTTGCCACAGCTTTTTGCCGCCGCGGCTTTTGGCCCCCGCCGTCGCGGCTTTTTGTGTTTTTTTTTTGCCCCCGCTCCCGCTGCTTTTTGCCCCAGCGACTTTTGGCCACCGCCGCCGCGGCTTTTTGCTCCCCGCCGCCGCTGCTTTTTGCCCCCGCCGCCGCGCGTTTCTGCCCCCGCCGCCGAGGCTTTTTGCCACCGCCGCCGCTGCTTTTTGCCACCGCCGCCGCTGCTTTTTTCGGCTTTTCGCCCCCGCCCCCGCGGCTTTTCGCCCCCGCCCCCGCGGCTTTTCGCGCCCACCGCCGCGGCTTTTTGCTCCCCGCCGCCGCGGTTTTCTGCCCCCGCTGCCGAGGCTTTTTGCTGCTCGGGCTTTTTGCCCCCGCCGCCGCTGCTTTTTGCGGCTTTTCGCCCCCGCGGCTTTTTACCCCGGCCGCCGCTTTTTTGTCCCCGCTGCCGCGGCTTTTTGCCCCGCCGCCGCTGCTTTTTGCGTCTTTTCACCCCCGCGGATTTTTGCGCCCCGCCACTTCGGCTTTTGCTGCCCGCCGCCGCCCCTTTTTGTCCCTGCCGCCGCGGATTTTTGCGCCCGCCGCCGCGGCTTTTTGCTCCCCATCGCCGTGGCTTTCTGCCCCGGCCGTTGTGATTTTCTGCCCCTGCCGCTGAGGCTTTTTGCCCCCGCCGCCGCTGCTTTTTGTGGCTTTTCGCCCCCGCTGCCGCGGCTTTTTGCGCTCACCGCCGCGGCTTTTTGCTCCCCGCCGCCGCGGTTTTCTGTCCCCGCCGACGAGGCTTTTTGCTGCTCGGGCTTTTTGCCCCCTGCCGCCATGGCTTTTTCCCCCAATGCCGCGACTTTTGGCGCCCGCCGCCGCTGCTTTTTGTGTTTTTTTGCCCCTGCTCCCGCTGCTTTTTGCCGCCGTGGCTTTTTCCCCCCGCCGCTGCGGCTTTTTGTGGTTTTTTGCCCCCACTCCCGGGGCTTTTTGCCCGCGCTGCCGCGCCTTTTTCCCCTGCTGCCGCGCCTTTTTGCCCCCGCCGCCGCGCCTTTTTGCCCCCTCCGCCGTGCCTTTTTCCCCCGCCGCCGCCGCCGCTTTTTGCTGCCGCAGCTTTTTACCCCCGCCGCCGCTGCTCTGAGGGCGGGAGCGGCAGACTCGGCCGCCAGCTCCACTGGCGTCCTGGCAAGGGCAGCGCCGAGGGGCGCTCCTGGTCCAGCTCTCCCGCCTCGGGAGTGTATGAATGCTTTGTGTTCTGACAAAGAGAATGTAGCACCCGTGTCCTACCTGCTTGGTTGCATTGCCGGTGCCCTCGGTAGTCCATTTAATCCAGGTTTTTAGGTTTTGTTGTGTTTCGTTTTGTTTCTAACTCCGTAACTGGTAGAATTGGAAGACTTTAATAGTGCTTAACGTTTTGTACATAGCTTTATAAGTTTTCTTTTTCTTTTTTTCTGATTCTTTTCAATATACCCCATCATGGTTGAACTCAAAGTCATTGCTTATTTAAAATCTATAACTGCTGACGTTTTGTAAGCTTCACATTCCAGATAATTGGTTTTTTGTGTGTTTTCTGTATTTTTCTCCATCAGTCTACCTACATATTTGTTAGATTTAATATTTTAATATATTACTAGCAGTTACTCCCCATTTCCCCATTTTCCCAGTCCCTGGCAACCACTAGTCTATTCTCTGTCTCTATGGACTAGCATATGCCAAATATCAAAAAAAAACGAGAATCATATGTGACCTTTTGTGTTTGGCTTCATTTATTTAGCATGTCCTGATTCATCCATGTTGTATCTTGTGTCAGCACTTCATTGCTTTATATGCCTGAATCCCATTGCAAGAGTATACTATGTTTTGTTTATCTATTCATTAGTTGATGGATATTTGAGTTGTGTTCATTTTTTGACTACGATTAATAATGCACTGTGATGAGATTCATGTACTCGTTTTTGTGTGGAGGTATTTTTACAATTTTCTTTATATATCTGGTAGTGGGCATATGGTAAATCTATGTTTAAATTTTTGAAAAACTTCAAAACTGTTTTCCAAAGTCTCTGTACCATTTTATATTATTACCAGCAGTGTATGGAGGTTCCATTTTTTCCTACCTCCTTGCCAACATCTGTTATTTTCCTTTTAAAAAAAAATATAGCCATCCTTGTAGATGTGAAGTGGTATCTAGTTTTCATTTGCATATCCTTAATGACTAATGATGTTGAGAGTCTTTTCATGTGCTGATTGGCCATTTGTATATCTTTTTAGAGAAATGTTCATTTAGATTGTTTGCTCATTTAATCGGGTTGTCTTTTTGTTATTCTAAGAATTCTTTATATATTCTGGACATTAGTTCCTCATCAGATGTATGACTTAGTAGATATTTTCTCGCATTCTGTGGGTTCTTTTCACTTTCCTGTTGGTATCCTCTGAAGTACAAAAGTTTTGAATTTTGTTAAAGTCCAGTTTGTTTTTCCTTTTGTCACTCTTGCATTTAGTGTTGTATCTAAGACCCATTGCCTAATTCACGGTAACAGATTTATACCTATGTTTTCTTCTACAAATTTTATAGTTTTACCCCTTATATTTGGGTCTTTGATCCTGATAGTGTTTTTTTTTTTTTTTTTTTTTTTTTTGGTGAACAGAATTTGTTTGGGTTTTATATGAAAACCCACTGGGGCTATTAAGGTAGTTTTACTATATTATCTTTAGAAGTTTTATGGTTTTGCTTCTCATCTTATTCTTAATCCACTGGAAACTACATGTTGTATAGTCAGTGTTCATTTATATTTACTCACATTATTTGTCTTCTTACGTACTCACCATTTCTTCTCGCAACTCATGTCTTCCATCTAGGGGAACACCCTTCTACTGAAAAACATCTCTTAGAATTTCCTTTAGTGAAGGTCTCTTAGTTAGCAAATTTAGTATTTGTTTGGTTTTTATGACTTAAATATTGTCTTATATTTGGCCTGTTTATTACAAGATATATTAATTTCATATGTGATTATTTTTTCTTAGTACATTGTCTTCTTGCTTCCATTTTAAGACATTAGCTCTTGGTCTAAATCCATATTCTTTCATGGATAATGTGAATTTTTTCTCTGGTTGTTTTCAATGTATTCTTTTCTTCAGGGTTCCGTTATTTTTATGATGATACATTTAGGTATTTTTTTTCCTTTTAAATCTGTCCAACTTGAGCTTCCTGAATATGAAGGGTGGAATTTTTCATCACTTTGGGAAAATTCCAAGCCATTATCTTTTTTACAAAACCTTTCTAAGAGTTTATTGTTCTACTTCTGAAATCCTGTTAGTTGTAATGTCTTATCACTCTTGTCTTCCATGTCTCTTGTTTCTTTCTTATTTTTTACTTCTTTGGGCTTCCTTCTGAGCAATTTCTTCAGCCTATCTTCCAGTTTACATTTTCCTTTTCAATTATATGTAATCTGCTGTCAAATCTGTCTTCAATTTCAACAATTATGTTTTTATTTCTGGAATTTCTGTTTGGCTCCTTCTCAAATCTTCTTGGTCATTTTTAAAAAAATTTTTTTTTTCTTTCATTGAGTTGTATTAAATTTTCATTATATGCCCAACAATTCTAATTAAGTCTTTATTGGTTTGATTTTGCTGAGTCTCTTTTCTTTTGTCTTTATTTTCTTTACTTGTACAATGTTAATAATCTAGTAATAACACCAACTAAATCACATGATTGTTTTATGAATTGAGATAATGAATATATGGCATAATATCTGGTACATAGTAAATGTACATGCAATCCATTATAATAATTAGAAATAATGAAATATAATGAATGATTATTAGGAAATGTACCAGAGCCACAAATTTTATTGAGCGATATAAAAGACATCTAGAGAAAACAAAGAAATATGCCATAGCTGGATGGAAACAGTAATAATAATGTTGCGTGTTCATCTTAGACTAAATCATGTCTCATACAATTTCAATAAAATTCCAATTAAATTTATTTCTAAATCATGGCAAATACATTGTAAATTTTATGTAAAAGAACAAACAGGGCCAGGCTCAGTGGCTCAACCTGTAATCCCAGCACTTTGGGAGGCTGAGGCAGGCATATCATGAGATCAGGAGATCGAGACCATCCTGGCTAACACGGTGAAACCCCATCTCTACTATAATACAAAAAATTAGCCGGGCGTGGTTGAAGGTGCCTTTAGTCCCAGCTACTCAGAAGTCTGAGGCAGGAGAATGGCCTGTACCCAGGAGGAGGAGCTTGTGGTGAGTGGAGATCATGCCACTGCACTCCAGCTTGGGCGACAGAGCGAGATTCCATCTCAAAAATAAAATATAAAAAGAAAAAGAATTTCTGTCTTGTTTCCTCATTAATGTTGGTTGAAAGCATGTTTGCACTTGTCTTTGAGTTGTGTTTTATTAACATCGTTTGGCATATTAAAAGTCCCTCTGAGCTTACCTTGTATAAAAAAATGTAAGAAGGACTATGAGGCAGAGGGGCTGGTGTGAGCACATGCTGGGCAGGAGGAAAGAGGTAATGATCAGGACCAGAGAAATCCCCAAACCCATCAAGTCAGGGAGCCAAATGAAAGCCTTTCATCCTGTATCAGCCACCTAACCCCATCGACACTCCAAGTGAACATTCTCTCTTAGAGATACTCATTGTCTTGTTTTTTCTGTAACCTTGCAAAGGAATCTGATTTCTTCCATTGGCCTTTCACAGAACAAAGATTTCACATTAGAATGCTATTCTTTAGAAGGCATCTTCTTAGATTAGGCTGCAAGGAGATTGAGGAAGTTACTGTCAGTCACTTATACTCCACAGGGATATTAATTTACCAGAGCTTTGGTGGAGTAGAGGAGCTCATTACAAGCAGGTCTGGATGCTGCACAGAGTGTAAAGGGGGCAGAAGGATCCAGGACACCTAGGCCTGGAGATAGCGCCAATACTGGGAGGTACCGTTATTTTCCCCATTTTACAGAGGAGGAAACAGACACTGGCAGGTAATGTGATCAAGACCATGCTGCCCCGCAGTACAGGAGCCAGGATCTAAACCCAGGCAGCCTCCATTGCCATCAGTGCTCTCACCCATAACCTCGTGGTGCCCTTAAGCAGGATTGCCCTGTGGCCACGGGCACAGCTTCTGGGTTCACATTCCAGCTTCTCTACAGTTTCCAGCTGTGTGACCTTGGGCAAGTTACTTGTCTGTGCTCAGCGTCCTCTGCACAGTGGGTATAGCAATACCAGCCTCATGGAGTCCCTTAAGTGAGTTAATCACTGTAACATGCTTAGAATGGTGCCATGTGCATCGTCACCATCCAGTACATATGGGCCATCATGCCTGAATCCTGGATGGATTAAAAGTCCCTCTGAGCTTACCTTCTCTAAAAAAATGTAAGAAAAAGGATCTGTGGGAAGCACTATGATGCAGAGGGGCTGGTGTGAGCATATGCTGGGCAGGAGGAAAGAGGTAATGACCAGGACCATTGAAGGGTCTAAAATGACCAGGATCCTTGAAGGGTCTAAAATCTAGGATCCTGAAATGCTGGGCAGTGGGATCCTGAAATCCTCCGGCAGCATTTTAACATATTTTGGCTGCAAAATTTTACCCTGCTTCCCGGGGCTAGAAGGTGTGGGATCAGCTGCTTCCTCAGTTCAGCCCCAAAGTAGGCAAAGAAGGTTTTGTCACAGGCTTGTCTAGGGCCCAGCCCCTGTAACCTCCCCTTCTCCCTCCTTTGCATGCTCCCTCACCCATATTCACACATGCACTCCAGGCCTTCTGGGCCCCAAGGGAAGGAGAGAGGGTGGGGAGTGGGTTCATTGGTCTACCGAAGCATGCTGCCTTCAGCCCTGCTGAATTGCTGGGTCCAGGGAATAGGCCTGCAGCTGAAGGGGTCTTGCCCTTCCTTTAACTTTAAACTTTGATTTGCAGTGATCCAAGAGCTTCATCTCTTCCTGTGAGCCTGTCTGGATGTTTATGCTGGATGGCACGGGTTCCTTCTGGCAGGGGTGCACAGGCCAGGGCATGGCTGGCAGCCATGGCATATGAGGAGACCTTGGCAGATGAGAAGACCTTCTGCTTCAGCTTCAATGTATGGGTCTTCTGACTCTCAGTACATTCCTCCTGAGCCATGATGGGCCCCAGTTCAATGAAACCTTCTGCGGCAGCATCATGGTGTCCAGGGGTATAATCTGGAGCATGTGCCAGTGCTACCCCAAGGTATGTGGTTGTGGGGCTGAGTGGAGCCCGAAGGGCAGGATCTTGTACCTCTCTTCCATGTATCAGCCCCATCCTTCAATCATCTTTTTATTTTCATTTTGAATCCCTGTTTTATTCTGTCTTCTGAGCACCTATCCATTCATTTATCCATTCATCCATCTATTCATCCATCCATTCATCCCAGCATCAATCTATCAATCCATGCATCCATCCATTTATTTGTCTAACCACCCACCCATCTATCTGTCTATCATTTAGCATAAGGATTGATCAGAAGCCTCCTGGTTCTGGAGCCATAGACCAGACACCATGGGGAGACATGATGAAAAACAACATATGATTTGTGTGCTTGAAACAAAAGCTAATGAGTGCTTACCACCTGCCTGGTAGTCCTGCATTCAGGGTGCAGTTCTCCCCTCATCCTGAGCTTTTTGGTACCTTCTATAGTTTCATTTTGTAGTAGAGAACGCTGAGCCTCATAAAGTGGGGTCACACAGCTGCGTAGTGGAGTTTGGATTGGAGTTCAGATGTGTGTGACTTAGGCATCACCCTCTGCCTTGAGTCCTCCACTCTAGGGTCCCAGAACTGCTGAACATTCTGGGGTTGGTCAGCTCTAACCTTGGTGGCATGCATTGAGCAACTCTCCATATTTTGGTGTCTTAATATATTCCTGGCCTTAGTGATGGCAAGCACCATTCTTTGGGAGACCTGGGTTCTAGTTCCAGTCCTGTCCCAAACTTTCTGTGTGATCTTTGTCTTTCTGAGTCCAGTATTTGCATCTGCGTAATAGGACACAAGCACCAACTTTCACAGCCTCATAGGGCTATTACAGAGGTCAGAGAAGAAAAGAGATATACGAATATTAGTAGACAGTAGAGTGTTTTGTTTAGGTGAAGTGCTGTCAGGTCCTGATAACCCTCTGGAATGAACATGTCAGAAGTTGTAAACCTTCAATGCCCAGAGAGGTGGAGCGACTCTTCCAAGGTCACATAGCTAGTCAGAAACAGACCTAGGGGAAAAAATTGAGAGAAACATGGAATCTAACTTGGGCTCTGTCTCTAACTGCCTGGGAGACTGCTCAAGCCCCTTCCCTCTCTAAGCCTCAGTTTCCTTGTTTTTACAATATGTGAGACAGGATGAGGGGATGTATGGGGATGATATCTGGAGGCCTTGCTAGAACTCACCTCTAGAGCCCAGGCTTGGGAATCCTTGGAAACCCCATATTGTCCTTTACATCTGGATGGCTGTGCTCAAGGGCTCAGGGAGTGGGGACCCTTGTGGCCCTGGACGCCCTAGCCCTTCCCCTTCTGTGGGTCCACCCTGTGCTGTCAGCGTGTTAGGTGCTGGAATGGTCTGAGCTGATTTGTAGTCATTTCCGAGGAAGTTTATGGTAACCTCACCTCTGTCCATGCCATGTCCTGAGCAGAGGTCCCCGGGAGAAGTCCTGGAGGCCAGAGCTACCCATGTCACAACTAGCCATGGTAGTCCTCTTCCCAATGAGGAGGCTGCAACCTGGGAGATGGCATCGGGTGGAAAGGGACATCTGTCCTAACCTCCTCATTAAGCAGAGGTGGCTCTGGGACTGTGGGAAGGGATACTGGAGAGGCAGCGGGTAACGAAGTGGAGGAGTAAATATTTCAGGGTACTAATAGAATAGAATGGACTCGAATGTAATGGATTACAAAGTATTTGATTAGAATGGAATAGATTCAAATGGAATGTAATCCAATGGAATGGAATGCAATGCAATGGAATGGAATAGAATGCAAAGCAAGGGAATGGAATGTAGTGGAATCGGGTGGAATGGCATCAAATGGAATGGACTGGAATGGAATGGACTCGAATGGAATGCACTGGAGTGGATTGTACTCGAAAGTAATGGAAACGAATGGAATGGAATGGAATGGAAAGGAATAGAATGGAATGGAATCAGATCGACCGGAATGGAATGGAATGGAGTCGAAAGGAATAGAATTGAATGGAATGGACTCGAATGGAATGGACTCGAATGGAATAGAATCGAATGGAATGGCATTGAATGGAATGGAATGGAATGGAAAGGAATGGACCCAAATGAAATGGACATGAAGGGAATGGACTCAAATAGAAAGGAACCAAAAGAAATGGTCTCGAATGGAATTTATTCGAATAGAATGGAATCAAAAGGAATACAATAGTGTCAAATGGAATCGAATGTAATGAAATCGAATGGATTGCACTGGAATGGAATGGAGTGGAACAGAACTGAGTCGAATGTAGTGGATTGCAATGTAATTGATTCAAATGGAATCGAATCGAATGGAATGGAATTGAATGGAATGGACCAAAATGGAATGGACTGGAATAGAACAGACTCGAACGTAATGGACAGCAGTGTAATTGATTTGAACGGAATGGAATTGAATGCAATGTAATCAAATTGAATGGAATTGAATGAAAAGAAATGGAATAAAATTGAATGCAATGGAATGGAATGGAGCGGAATCGAGTGGAATGGAATTGAATGGAATGGAATCAAATGGAATGGACTGGAATGGAATGGACTCGAATGGAATTGACTGGAACAAAATGGAAAAGAACGGAATAGAATAGAATGGAACGGAATGGAATGGAATGGACTGGAATGGAATGGACTGGAGTGGAATGGACTCGAATGTAGTGGAAACGAATGGAATGGAAGGGAATGGAACGGAATGGAATAGAATGGAATGGAATCAGATGGAACGGAATGGAATAGAATGGAGTCGAATGTCATAGAGTTGAAAGAAATGGCTAAGAATGGAATGTGGAATGGAATGCACTCAAATCGAATGGACTTGAATGGAATAGAATCGAATGGAATGGTATCCAATGGAACGGAAAGGAATGGAATGGAATGGAACGGACCAAAATGTAATGGACTCGAATGGAATGGACTCAAATAAAATGGACTCAAAAGCAATGATCTCGAATGGTAATTATTCGAAAGGAATGGAATCGAATGGAATGCAATAGTATGGAATGGAATCTAATGGAATGGAATCAAAAGGAATGGACCGGAATGGAATGGACTGGAATAGAAAGGATTCAAATGTAATGGATTGCAATATAATTGATTCCAATGGAATGGAATTGAATGACATGGAAGGCAAACGAATGGAATGGAATGGAATGCAATGGAATGGAATGGAATGGTAAGGAATAGAATGGAATGGAATCAGATGGAAAGAAATTGAATGGAATGAAATCGAATGGAATAGAACTGAGAAGAATGGCATCAAATTGAATGGAATGGACTCGAATGCAATAGACTCGAATGTAATAGAAAAGAATGGAATGGCATTGAATGGAATGGTATGCAATGGAATGGACTCAAATAGAATGGACTCGAAAAAAATGGTCTCCTTTGGAATTTATTCGTACATAATGGAATTAAATGGAATGCAATAGTACGGAATGGAATTGAATGAAATGGAACAGAATGGAATAGACCGGAATGGAATGGACTGGAATAGAATGGACTTGAATGTAATGGATTGCAATTTAATAGATTCGAATGGAATGTAATCAAAAGGAATGTAATCAAATGGAATGGAAAGGAATGCAATGGAAATGAACAGAATGGAATGTAACAAAATGGAATAGAATGGAATTCAATGGAAAGAACGAATTGGAATGGGGTGAAATGGAATTGAATTGAATTGAATCGAATGGAATGGAATCGAATGGAAAGGACTGGAATGGAATGGACCCAAATGTAATGGACTCTAATGGAATGGACTCAAACAGAATGGACTCAGAAGGAATGGTCTCGAATGGAATTTTTTCAGATAGAATGGATTCGAATGGAATGCAATAGTATGGAATGGAATCAAATAGTATGTAATAGAATGAAATGGACCGGAATGGAATAGACTGGAATAGAATGGACTCGAATGTAATGAATTGCTATGTAATTGATTCAAATGGATTGGAATCAACAGGAATGAAATCAAGTGGAATGGAATGGAATGCAATGGAATGGAATAGAATGGAATTGAACGGAACGGAACAGAGTGGAATCGGGTGGAATAGAATCGAATGGAATGGAATTGAATGGGGTGGAATCAAATGGAATATACTGAAATGGAATGCACTCGAATGAAATAGACTGGAACAAAATGGAATCGAATTGAACGGAAAGGAATAGAATGGCATGGAATGGACTGGAATGGAATGGACTCGAATGGAATGGAACAGAATGGAGTGGAGTCGAATGGGATTGAACAGAATGGAACGGAATTGATTGGAATGGAAATGAATGGAATAGAAAGGAATAGAATGGAATGGAGTGTAATGGAATGATATCAAATTGAATGGAATTGAATGGACTCGAACGGATTGGACTGGAATGGAATGGACTCAAATGGAATGTACTGGAGTGGAATGGATTAAATGGAATGGAAAAGAAAGGAATGGAAAAGAAAGGAATGGAATGGAATGTAAAGGAATAGAATGGAATGGAATGGAATGGAATGGAATGGAGTGGAATGGAATAGAATCTAATGGAATGGCATAGAATGGAATGGAGTGGAATGGAATGAAATAGAATGGAATCGAATGGAATGGACTCTAATGGAATAGAATACAATGGAATGACATCGAATGGAATGGAATGGAATGGAATGGAATGGATTCGAATGCAATGGAATGGAATGGAAGGGACCCAAATGTAATGGACTTGAATGGAATGGAATCAAACACAATGGACTCGAAAGGAATGGTCTCGAATGGAATTTATTTGAATAGAATGGAATTGAATGAAATACAATAGTATGGAGGGGCATCAAATGGAATGGAATCAAATGGAATGGACTGGAATGGAGTGGACTGGGATAGAATGGACTCGAATGGAATGGATTGCAATGTATTTGTTTCAAAAGGAATGGAATCGAATGGAATGTAATCAAATGGAATGGAAGGGAATGCAATGGAATGGAATAGAATGAATTGCAATGGAATGTAACGGAGTGGAATCAAGTGGAATGGAATCGAATGAAATGGAATCGAATGGAATGGAATTGAATGGAATGGAGTGGAATGTAATGGACTCGAATAGAATGGACTGCCACAAAATGGAACCCAACGGATTGGAATAGAATGGAACAGAATAGAATGGAGAGGACAGGAGTGTCATCGAATGGAATGGCATCACATGGAATGGACTGGAATGGAATGCAATGGAATGTACTCAAATGGAACGGACTCGAATTGAATATAATCAAATGTAATGGAATCGAGTGGAGTGGAATGGAATGGGATGGCATGGAATGGAATGGACCCGAATGTAATGGACTCGAATGGAATGAACTCAAATAGAATGGACTCAAGCGGAATGGTTGCATATGGAATATAATCAAATAGAATGTAATCGAATGGAATACAGTAGTATGTAATGGAATCGAATGGAATGGAATTGAATGGAAAGGACCACAATGGAATGGACTGGAATAGAACGGACTCCAATGTAACGGATTGCTATGTAATTGAAATGAATGGAATGGAATATAATGGAATGTAATCAAATGGAATGGAATGCAATGCAATGGAATGGAATAGAATGGAATGCAACGGAATGGACAAGATTGGAATCGAGTAGAATGGAATCGAATGGAATGGAATCGAAGGGAATGGACAGGAACAAAATGGAATCGAACGGATTGGAATTGAATGGAATGGAATTGAACGGATTCGAAGGGACTCGAATGAAATGGAGTCGAATGGAATGGAATTGAATGGAATGGAATTCAATGGAATCAAAAGGAATAGAATGAATGGAGTGTAATGGAAAGCTAACAAATTGAATGGAATGGAATGGAATGGAATGGACTCGAATGGAATGGTGTCGAATAGAATGGAATCTATTGCAATGGAATCGAATGGAATGGAATTGAATGGAATCGAGAGGAATAGAATGGAAAGTACTGTGATGGAAAAATATTGAATGGAATGGAACAGAATGGACTCGAAAGGAATGGACTAGAATGGAATGTACTTGAATGGAATGGACTGCAGTGGAATGGACTCGAATGCAATGGAAGCGAATGGAATGGAATGGAAAGGAATGGAATGGAATGGAACGGAAAGGATTAGAATGAAATGGAATCGGATGCAACGGAATCGAATGGAATGGAGTCAAATGGAATAGAATCGATTTGAAAGTCATTGAATGGACTGGAATGGAATGAATTCGAATCGAATGGACTGGAAAAAAATGGAATCGAATGGATTGGAATCGAAGGGAACGGAATGGAATGGAATGTACCCAAAAGTAATGGACTCGAATGGAATGGACTCAAATAGAATGGACATGAAAGGAATGGTCTCGAATGGAAATTATTGGAACAGATTGGAATCGAATGGAATGCAAAAGTATAGAATGCAATCGAATGGAATGTAATCGAATGTAATGGACGGGAACGGAATGGACTCGATTGGAATGGACTGGATTCGAATGAACTCCAAAGGAAAGGAAACGAATGGCATGGATTGGAATGGAATTTAATGAAAGGGAATAGAATGGAATGAAATCGGATGGAACTGAATGGAATGGAATGGAGTCGAATGGAATAGAATTGTATGGAATGGCATTGAACGGTATGGAATGGAATGGAATTGAATGGACTCGAATGAAATGGACTGGAACAAAATGGAAAAGAACGGATTGGAATCGAATGGAATGGAATGGGATTGAATGGAATGGAATGGACTGAAATGGAATGGAGTCTAATGGAATAGAACCGAATGGAATGGATTCGAATGGAATGGAATTGAATGGAATCAAAAGGAATAGAATGGAATTGGGTGTAATGGAAAGATATCGAATGGAATGGAATGCAATAGATTGACTCAAATGGAATGGACTGGACTGGAATGGAATGGAATGGAATGAAATGAAATTGAAAGGAATAGAATAGAAAGGAATCGGATGGAACGGAATGGAATGGAATGGAGTCAAATCGCATAGAATCGATTGGAATGGGATCGAATGGAATGGAAAGAAATGGACCTGAATGGAATGGACTCAAATAGAATGGAAACAAATGGAATGGAATCAATCGAATGGAAAGGAGTAGAATGGAATGGAATCGGATGGAATGAAATGGAATGGAATAGAGAAGAATGGAGGAGAATCGAATGAAATGGCATAGAATGAAAAGGAATGGAATCGAATGGAGTGGAATGTAATGTAATCAAATATAATGGACTCCAATGAAATGGACTTAAATAGATTGGACTCGAAAGTGTGGTCTCGAATGGAATTTATTGGAATGTAATGGAATCGAAATGAATGCAACAGTATGTAATGGAATCGAAAGGAATAGAATCGAATGGATTGAACAGGAATGAAATGGACTGGAATAGAATGGACTCGAATGTATTGGATTGCAATGTAATTGATTTGAATGAAATGGAATCGAATGGAAGGTTATCAAATTGAATGGAAATGTAAACAATGGAATGGAATGTAATGGAATGCAACGGAATGGAATAGAGTGGAATCAAGTAGAATGGAATTGAATGGAATGTAATCAAATGGAATGCAATCAAAGGGAATGGAATTGAATGGAATGGAATGCAATGGAATGTACTGGAACAAAGTGGAATCGAATGGATTGGAATCGAATGGAACGTAAAGGGATGGACTGGAATGGAATGGACTCAAATCGAATGAAGTCGAATGGAATGGAACCGAATGGAATGGAATCGAATGGAATGGAATTAAATGGAATTGAAAGGAATAGAATGGATTTAGGTGTAATTGAAATATATCGAATGGAATGGAATAAAATGGAAGGTACTCGAATGGAAT
Source organism: Homo sapiens (assembly GCF_000001405.40). Classification (NCBI taxonomy): domain Eukaryota; kingdom Metazoa; phylum Chordata; class Mammalia; order Primates; family Hominidae; genus Homo; species Homo sapiens. Next base: position 213,514 of record NT_187384.1, read on the forward strand.
TGAAAGGAATGGAATGGAATGGAATAGAATGGAATGGAATCGGATGGAATGGAATGGAATGGAAAGGAATGGAATGGAATGGAATAGAATGGAATGGAATCAGATGGTACGGAATGGAATGGAATGGAGTCGAATGGAATAAAATGGAATTAAATGGCATCGTATGGATTGGAATGGAATGCAATGGAATGGAATGGACACGAATGGAATGGACTCGCATGGAATAGAATCATTTGGAATGGCATCGAATGGTATCGAATGGAATGGAATGGACCCAAATGGAATGGACTCGAATGGAATGGATTCAAATACAATGGAAAAGAAAGGAATGGTCTCAAATGGAATTTATTCAAATAGAATGGATGTGAATCGAATGCAATAGTATGGAATTGAATCAAATGGAATGGAATCGAATGTAATGGACCGGAATGCACTGGACTGGAATAGAACGGAATCGAAAGTAATGGATTGCAATGTAATTGATTCGAATGGAGTGGAATCAAATGGAATATAATTAAATGGAATGGCATTAAATGCAATGCAATGGAATAGAGTGGAATGCAATGGAATGGAAAGGACTGGAATCGAGTTGAATGGAATCGAATTGAAAGGAATCGAATAGAATGGAATGGAATGGAATGGATTGGAACAAAATGGAGTCGAATGGATTGGAATCGAATGGAACGGAATGGAATGGAATGGAACGGACTCCAATGTAATGGACTAGAATGGAATGGAATCAAATTCAATGGACTCGAAAGGAATGGTCTCAAATGGAATTTAATCGCATAGAATGGAATCAAATGGAATGCAATAGTGTGCAATGCAATCGAATGGAATGGAATCGAATGGAATGTACTGGAATGGAATGGAGTTCAATAGAATGGACTCGAATGTAATACATGGCAATATAATTGATTTAAATGCAATGGGATCGAATGGAATGTAATCAAATGGAATGGAATGGAGTGCAATTGGATGGAATATAATTGAATGCAATGGAATGGAAGGGAGTGGAATTGTGTGGAATGAAATCGTATGGAATGGAATCGAATTTAATGGAATCGAATGGAATGGACTGGAATGGATTGGACTCAAATGACATGGACTGGAACAAAATGGAATCGAATGGATTGGAATCGAACGGAATGGAATGGACACAAAAGGAATGGATTCGAAAGGAATGGAACCGAATGGAATGGAATTGAATGGAATCGAAAGGAATAGAATGGAATGGTGTGTAATGCAAAGATATCGAATGGAATGGACTGGACTCAAATGGAATGGACTGGAATGGAATGGACTCGACTGGAATGGACTGGAGTGGAATGGACACGAATGGAATGGAAACAAATGGAATGGAATGGAATGGAAAGGAATTGAATGGGATGGAATTGGATGGAAGGAAATAGAATGGAATGGGGTGGAATGGAATAGAATCGAATGGAATGGCATCAAATGGAACGGAGTGGAATGGAATGGAATGGAATGGACACGAACGGAATAGACATGAATGGAATAGAACAGAATGGAATGGCATGGAATGCAATGGAGTGGATTGAACCGAATGGACCCAAATGTAATGGACACGAATGGAATGGACTCAAATAGAATGGACTCGAAACGAATGGTCTCAAATGGAAATTATTTTAATAGAATGGAATCGAATGCAATGCGATAGAATGGAATGGAATCGAATGGAGTGGAATTGAATGGAATGGACTGGAATAGAATGGACTGGAATAGAACGTGCTCGAATGTAATCGATTGCAATGTACTTGATTTGAATGGAATGGAATCAAATGGAATGTAATAAAATGGAATGTAATGGAATGCAATGGAATGTAATGAAATGCAATGGAATGGAACGGAGTGGAATCTAGAGGAATGGAATCGAATGGAATGGACTGGAATGGAATGGATTCGAAAGAAAATGTACTGGAAAAAATTAGAATTGAACAGATTGGAATTGAATGGAATGGAATGGACATGAATGGAATGGAGACAAGTGTAATGGAACTGAATGGAATGGAATTGATTGTAATGTAATTGAGTGGAATCGAAAGGAATAGAATGGAATGAATTGTAATGGAAAGATATCGAATGGAAAGGAATGGAATGGAATGGATTTGAATGGAATGGACTGGAATGGAATGTACAAGAATGGAATGGACTGGAGTGTAGTGGACTTCAATGGAATGGAAACGAATGGAATCGAATGGAAAGGAATGTAATGGAATGGAAAGGAATAGAATGGAATGGAATCGGATGGAACGGAATGGAATGGAATGGATTTGAATGGAATGGCATCGAATGGAATGGAATGGAATAGAAGGGAATTTCATCGAATGGAATGGAACCCAAAGGAATGGTATTGACTGGAATGGAATGGAAAGGAACAGAATGGAATTGAAACGGATGGAAGTGAATGGAAATGGTTGGAAAGGAATGGAATGGAATGGAGTCGAAAGGAATAGAATCCAATGGAATGGCATCGAATGGATTGGAATGGAATGGAATGGACACGAATGTGATGGACTTGAACGGAATAGAATCGAAAGGAATGGAATCGTATGGAATGGAATGGAATGGAAAGAAATGAAATGGAATGGAACCAAATGTATCGGACACGAATGGAATGGACTCAAATAGAATGGACTCGAAAGAAATGGTCTAAAATGGAATCTATTCGAATAGAATGGAATCGAATCGTATGCAACAGTATGGAATGGCATCGTATGGAATGAAACTGAATTTAATGGACCAGAATGGAATGGACTGGAATAGAATGGACTCGAGTGTAATGTATTGCAATGTAATTGATTCAAATGAAATGGAATCGAATGGAATGGAATCAAAAGGAATGGACCGGAATGAAATTTACTGGAATAGTACAGACACGAAAGTAGTTGATTGCAATTTAAATGACTCAAATGGAATGGATTCAAAAGGAATTTAATCAAATGCGAGGAAATGGAATGCAATGGAATGGTATGGAAAAGAATGCAATGGAATGGAATGGATTGGAAACGAGTGGAAAGGAAACAAATGGAATGGAATCAAATGGAATGGAATCTAAAGGAATGGACTGGAATGGAATGGACGCGAATGGAGTGGACTTTAGAGGAATGGATTCGAATGGAATGGAAAAGAATGGAATGGATTGGAATGCAATGGAATGGAATGGAAAGGAATAGAATGGAATGGAATCGGATGGAACGGAATGGAATGAACTCGAATGGAATGGATCCGATGGGAATGGCATTGCATGCAACGGACTGGAATGAAATGCAGTCGAATGGAATGCACTGGAGTGGAATGGACTCAAATGGAATGGAAAGTAATGGAATGGAAAGGAATGGAATGTAATGAAATGGAATAGAAAGGAATAGAATGGAATGGAATTGGATGGAATGGAATGGAACGGAATGGAGTCGAATGGAATAGAATCGAATGGAATGGCATCAAATGGAATGGAATGGAATGGAATGGACTCGAATGGAAGGGACTCAAAAGGAAGAGAATCGAATAGAATGGCATTCATTGCAATGGAATGGATTGGAATGGACCTGAATATAACAGATTGGAATGGAATGGACTCAAATAGAATGGATTCAAAAGAAATGTTCTCGAATGGAATTTATTGAAATAGAATGGAATCAAATGGAATGCAATTGTATGGAATGGAATCGATTGGTAACGAATCAAATGTAATGGAACGGAATGGAATTGATTGGAATAAAACGGAATGGGATGTAATGGATTGCAATATAATTGATTAGAATGGAATGGAATCGAATGGAATGGAATCGAATTGAATGGAATCAAATGGAATGGACCGGATGGAATGGACTGGAATAGAACGGACTCGAATGAAATTGATTGCCATGTTATTCATTTGAATGGAATGGAATCGAATGGAATGTAATCCAAAGGAATGGAATGGAATGCAAAGCAACGGAATAGAATGGAACGTAATGGAATGGAACGAAGAAGAATCGAGTTGAATGGCATCAAATGGAATGGAATTTAATGGAATGGAAATGAATGGAATGGACAGGAATGTAATGGATTTGAATGGATTGGACTGGAACAAAATGTAAAGGAATCGTTTGGAATGGAACAGAATGGAATGGAATGGAATGGAATGGACTCCAATGGAATGGAGTCGAATGGAATAGAACCAAGTGAAATGGAATCGAATGGAATGGAATTGAATGGAACTGAAAGGAATAGAATGGAATGGAGTGTAATGGAAAGATATCAAATGGAATGGAATGGAATAGAATGGACTCAAAATGAATGGACTGGAGTGGAATGGACTCGAATGGAACGGACTGCAGTGGAATGGACTCGAATGGAATGGAAACGAATGGAGTGGAATGGAAGGGAATGCAATGGAATGGAACGGAAAGGAATAGAATGGAATGAAATCGGATTGAATGGAATGGAACGGAACGGATTCAAATGGAATAGAATCAAATGTAATGGCATCGAATGAAATGGAATAGAACGCAATGTACTCGAATGGAATGGACAGGAATGGAATGGACCCGAATGGAATGGCATCGAATGGAATGGAATGGAATGGACCAAACATAATGGACTCTAAAGGAATGGAGTCAAATGGAATGGAATCGAATGGAATGGTAACGAATGAAATGGAATATAACGGAATCGGAAGGAATAGAATTGAACGGAGTGTAATGGAAAGATGTGAAATGAAATAGATTGCAAACGAATGGAATGCACTGGAATGGAATGGACTCGAATGGAATGGACTGGAGTGGAATGGACTCTAATGGAATGGAAACGAATGGAATGGAATGGAATGGAATGGAATGGAATGGAATGGAATGGAATATTATGGAGCGGAATTGACTATAATGGAATCCGATGGAATGGACTGGAATAGAATGGACTTGAAAGTAATGGATTGCAATGTAATTGATTCGAATGGAATTGAATCGAATGGAATGTAATCAAATGAAATGGAATGGAATGCAATGTAATGGAATAGAATGGAATGCAATAGAATGGAATGGAGTGGAATCGACTGGAATGAAATCGAGTGCAATGGAATCAAATGGAATGGAATTGAATGTAATGGACGGGAATGTAACGGACTCCAATGGAATGGACTGGAGCAAAATGGAATGGAAGGGATTGGAATCGAACGGAATGGAATGGAATGGAATGGAATAGAATGTACTCAAATGGAATGGAGTCGAATGGAATGGAATCGAATGGAATGGAATTGAACGGTATCGAAAGGAATAGAATGGAATGGAGCATAAAGGAAAGATATCGAATGGAATGGAATGGAACTGAATGGACTCGACTGGAATGGACTGGAATGGAATGGACTCGAATGGAATGGACTGGAGTGAAATGGACTACAATGGAATGGAAACGAATGGAATGAAATGGAATGGAATGGAACAGAATGGAAAGGAATAGAATGTAATGGAATAGGTTGGAGATGGAATGCAAAGGAATGCAGTCGGATGGAATTGAATCAAATGGAATGGCAATGAGTGGAATGGAATGGAATGCAATGGAGTGGAATAGAATGGAGTGCAATGGAATGGAATGGAGTGGAATCGAGGGGAATGGAAAGTAATGGAATGGAATTGAATGCAATGGAATCGAATGGAATGGACTAGAATGGAATGCACTCGAATGGAATGGATTGGAAAAAATGGAATCGAACAGATTGGAATAGAAAGGAACGGAATGGAATGAAATGGAATGGAATGGACTCAATTGGAGTGGACTCGAATGGAATGGAATCGAATAGAATGGAGTCGACTAGAATGGAATTGAAAGGAATGGAAAGAATAGAATGAATTTTAGTGTAATGGAAAGATATCGAATGGAATGCAATGGAATGGAATGGACTTGAATGGAAGAGACTGGAATGGAATGCATTTGAATGGTAGGGTCTGGAGAAGAATGGACTCGAATGGAATGGAAACGAATATAATGGAATGGAATGAAATGGAAAGGAATAGAATGAAATGTAATCGGATGTTATGGAATGGAATGGAGTCAAATGGAATAGAATCGAATGGAATGGCATCGAATGGAATGGAATGGAATGGACTCGAAATGCATGGACTTGAAGGAATAGAAATAGAATGGAATGGCATCAAATGGATTAGAATGGAATGGAATGGACTTGAAAGGAATGGTCTAGAATGGAATGGAATGGACTTGAAAGGAATGGTCTAGAATGGAATAGAATGGAATGGAATGGACTGGCATGGAATGGACCAAAATGTAATGGACTCGAATGGAATGGACTCAAATAGAATGGACTCGAAAATAATGATATCAAATGGAATTTATTCGGAAGGAATGGTATCGAATGGAATGCAATTGTATGGAATGGAATCGAATGGAATGAAAGTGAATGGAATGGACTGGAATGGAATGGACAGGAATAGAACAGACTCATATGTAACGGATTTCAATGTAATTAATTCGAATGAATAGAATGGAATGGAGTCGAATGGAATGGAATCTAAAGGAATGGTATCGGATGAAATAGAATTGAATGGAATCAAAAGTAATAGAATGGAATTGAGTGTACCGGAAAGATATCAAATGGAATGGAATGGAATGGAATGGAATCGACACGAATGGAATGGACTGGAATTGAAAGGACTTCAATGGAATGGGCTGGAGTGGAATTGACTCGAATAGAATGGACTGGACTAGAGTGGACTCGTATGGAAGGGATATAACCGGTATGGAAAGGAATGGAATGGAATGGAAAGGAATAGAATGGAATGGAATCAGACGGAATGGAATGGAATGGAATGGAATGGAATGGAGTCGAATGGAATAGAATAGAAAGGAATGGCATCAAATGGAATTTACTGGAATGCAAAGGAATGGAATGGACTTGAATGGAATGCACTGGAATGAAATGGACGCGAATCTAATGGACTGGAGTGGAATGGACTCGAATGGTATGGAAACGAATATAATGGAATGGAATGGGGTGGAAAAGAATGGAATGGGATGGAAAACAATAGAATGGAATCGGATGGAATGGAATGGAATGGAATGAAGTCAAATGGAATAGAATAGAATGGAATGGCATGGAATGGAATGGACTCGAATTGAATGGACCCAAATCAAATAGAATAGAAAGGAATGACATCGAATTGAATAGAATGGAAAGCATGGGACTCCTATGGAATGGACTGGAAAGGACTGTATACGAAAGAAATGGACTGGAAGAAAATGGAATCGAACAAATGGGAATCAAACAGAACAGAATGGAATGCAATGGAATGTGAAGGACCCGAATGGAATAGAGTCAATTGGAATGGAATCGAATGGAATGGAATAGAATGAAATGGAATTGAATGGAATAGAAAGGAATAGAATCTAATGGAGTGTAATGGAAAGATATCTAATGGAAAGGAATTGAATGGAGTCGAATGGAATGGACTGGAATAGAATGGACTCGAATGGAATGGACTGAAGAGGAACATACTCGAATGCAATGGAAACGAATATGGAAAGGAATAGAAAGGAATGGAATAGGAAGGAATGGAATGGAATGGAATGGAGTCGAATGGAATACAATCGAATGGAATGGCATCGAATGCAATGGAATGGAATTTAATGGAATGGCATCGAATGGAATGGAATGGAATGGACCCAAATGTAATGGACTCGAATGGAATGGACTCAAATAGAATGGACTCAAAAGGAATGGTCTTGAATCGAATATATTTGAATAGAATGGAATTTAATGGAAAGCAATAGTATTGAACGGAAATGAATGGGACAGAATCGAATGGAATGGACAGGCATAGAATGTACTGGAATAGAAAGGACTCGAATGTAATGGATTGCAATGTATTTGATTTGAATGGAATGGAATCAAATGGAATGTTATCAAATGGAATGGAATGGTATGCAATGGAAAGGAATAGAATGCAATGAAATGGAATGGAATGCCATGGAATCGAGAGGAATGGAATTGAATGGAAAGGAATCGAATGGAATGGACTGGAATGGAATGGACTGGAATGGAATGGACTCAAAAGGAATGCACTGGAAGAAAATGGAATCAAACTGATTGGAATCGAACGGAACGGAATGGAATGGAAAGGAATAGAATGGATTCGAATGGAATGGAATCGAATGAAATGAATTGAATGGAATTGAAAGGAATGGAGTGCAAAGAAAAGATACCAAATGGAATGGTATGGAATGGAATTGACTCAAATGGAATGTAATAGAATGGAATGGACTCGAATGGAATTGACTGGAGTAGAATGGACTTGAATAGAATGGACTGTAGTGGAATTGGCTCGAATGGAATGGAATAAAACGGAATGAAATGGAATGGAAAGGAATACAATTGAATGGAATCGGATGGAATGGAATGGAGTGGAATGAAGTCGATTGGAATATAATCGAATGGAATGACATCAAATGGAATGGAATGGATTTGAATGGATTGGACTCAAATGAAATAGAATCGAATGCAATGGAATTGAATGGAATTAAATGTAATGGAATGAAATGGAATTGACCCAAATGTAATGGACTCGAAAGGAATGGACTCAAATAGAATGGACAAGAAAGGAATGGTTTCGAATGGAATTTATTCGAATAGAATGGAATCGCATGGAATGCAATAGTATGGAATGGAATCGAATGGAATGGACTGGAATAGAATGGACTGGAATAGAAAGGACTCGAATATAATGGATTGCAATGAAATTGCTTTGAATGCAATGGAATCGAATGGAATGTATTCAAATGGAAAGGAATGGTATGCAATAGAATAGAATATAATGGAATGCAAAGGAATCGAATGGAGTGGAATCGAGTGAAATGGAATTGAATGTAATGGAATCGAATGGAATGGAATTGAATGGAATGGAATTGAATGCAATGGAATTGAATGGTGATGAAAGGAATACAATGGAATAGATTGTAATGGAAAGATATTGAGTGAAATGCAATGGACTCGAATGGAATGGACTGGAATGGAATGGACTCGAATGAAATGGACTGGAGTGGAATGGACTCAAATGTAATGGAAACGAATGGAATGGAATGGAATGAAATGGAAAGGAAGAGAATGGAATGGAATCTGTTGGAACAGAAAGGAATTGAATGTAGTCGAATGGAATAGAATTGTATGGAATTGCAATGGAATTGCATCAAAGAGAATGGAATGGAATGGAATGGAATGGAATGGAATGGAATGGAATGAAATGGAATGGAATGGACTCGAATACAATGGTCTCGAATTCAGTAGAATCGAATAGAATGGAATGGAATGGAATGGAATGGAAACAATTGTAATGGATTTGAATGGAATGGACTCAAATAGAATGGACTGGAAAGGCATGCTCTCGAATGGAATTTATTGAATTAGAATGGCATCTAAAGGAATGCAATAGTATGGAATGGAATCCAATGGAATGGAATCCAATGGAATGGAATGGAAAGGAATGGACTGGAATAGAACAGACTCGAATATAATGGATTCCAAACTAATTGATTTGAATGGAACGGAATCGAATGGAAAGTAATCAAAAGGAATGGAATGGAATGCAATGGCATGGAATAGTATGAAATGCAAAGGAATGGAATGGAGTGGAATTCAGTGGAATGGATTCGAATGCAATGGAATCGAATGGAAGGGACTGGAATGGAATGGACTCGAATGGAATGGACTGGAACATAACAGAATCCAATGGATAGGAATCGAATGGAACGGAAAAGAATGGAATGGAATTGAATGGACACGAATTGAATGCAGTCGAATGGAATGGAATCAAATGGAATGGAGTCGAATTGAATGGAGTTGAATGGAATCGAAAGGAATAGACTGCAATGGAGTGTAATGGAATGATATCGAATGGAATGGACTCGAACGGAAAGTACCGGAGTGGAATGGACTCAAATGGAATGGAAACGAATGGAATGGAAAGGAATAGAAGGGAATGGAATCGGTTGGAACAGAATGAAATGGAATGGATTCGATTGGAATAGAATCGAATGAATTGGCATCGAATGGAATCAAATGGAATCGAATGAAATGGACTCGAATGGAATGGCATCGAATGGAATGGAATGGAATGGAATGGAATGGACCCAAATGTAATGGACTCAAATAGAATAGACTCGAAAGGAAAGGTCTCGAATGGAATTTATTCGAATAGAATGGAATCGTATGAAATGCAATAATAATGAATGGAATCGAATGGATTAGAATCGAATGGAATGGACAGGAATAGAATGGACACGAATGTAATGGATGGCAATGTAATTGATTTGAATGGGATGGAAATGAAAGGAATGTAATCCAATGGAATTGAATGGTGTGCAATGGAATGGAATAGAAAGGAATGCAATGGAATGGAATGGAGTGGAATCCAGTGTAATGGAATCGAATGGAATGGAATTGAATGGAATGGAATCGAATGGAATGGAGTGGAATGGAATGGACTCGAAGGGAATGGACAGTAACAAAATGTTATCGAACAGACTGGAATTGAACGGAACAGAATGGAATGGAATGAAATGGAAAGGAATAGAATGGAATGGATTCGAATGGAATGGAACAGAATGGAATGGAATGGAATGGAATCAAAAGGAATTTAATGGAATGGAGTGCAATGGAAAGATATCAAATGGAGTGGAATGGAATGGAATGGAATCGAATGGAATAAACTGGAATGCAATGGACTCAAATGGAATGGAGTGCAGTGCAATGGACACGAATGGAATGGAAACGAATGGAAAGGAATGGAATGGAAAGGAATAGAATGGAATGGAATAGGTTGGAAAGGAATATAATGGAATGGAATAGGTTGGAACGGAATGGAATCGAATGGAGTCGAATGGAATAGAATTGAATGGAATGGCATCGAATGGATTGGAAAGGAATGGAATGGAATGGACTCTAATGGAATGGATTCGAATGGAATAGAATAGCATGGAATGGCAGCGAATGCAATGGAATGAAATGGACCCAAATGTAATGGACTCGAATGGAATGGACTCAAATGGAACGGACTCGAAACAAAAGGTCTCGAATGGAATTTATTCAAATAGAATGGAATCAAATGGAATGCAATAACATGGAATGGAATCGAATGTAATGAAATCAAATGGAATGGACTGGAATGGAATGGACTGGAATAGAACGGACTCGAATGTAATGGATTACAATGTAATTGATTCTAATGGAATGGAATCAAATGGTATTTAATCAAAAGGTATGGAATGGAATGCATTGGAAAGGATAGAATCTAATGCAATGGAATGGAACGGAGGGTAATCGAGTGGAATGGAATGGAATGGAATGGAATCGAATGGAGTGGAATGGAATGGAATGGAATGGACACGAAAGGAATGGATTGGAACAAAATGGAATCAAAAGGATTGGAATTGAATGGAATGGAATGGAATGGAATGGACTCAATTGGAATGCAGTCGAATGGAATGGAACCGAATGAAATGGAATTGAACAGAACGGAATTGAATGGAATCAAAAAATGGAATGAATTGGAGTGTAAAGGAAAAATATCGAAAGGAATGGAATGGAACGGAATGGACTCGAATGGAAAGGACTGGAATGGAATGGACTCGAATGGAATGGAGTGGAGTCGAATGGACTCAAAAGGAATGTAAACGAATAAAAAGGAATGGAATGGAAATGAATACAATGGAATGGAATCAGATGGAATGGAATGGAATGGAATGGAGTCGAATGGAATAGAATCGAATGGAATGGCATAGAATGGAATGGAATGGACTAGAATGGAATAGAATCGAATGGAATGACATCGAATGAAATGGAATGGAATGGACTCGAATGGAATAGAATAGAATGGAATGGCATCGAATTTATTGGAATGGAATGGAATGGACTCCAATGGAATGGTCCAGAATGGAATAGAATGGAATGGAATTGAATGGGATGGAATGGCCCCAAATGTAATGGACTCGAATGGAATGTACTGAAACAGAATGTACTCGAAAGTAATTTTCTCGAAAGGAATTTATTTGAATAGAATGGAATCGTATGGAATGCAATAGTATGGAACGGAAAAGAATGGAATAGAATCGAATGGAATGTACAGGAATGGAATGTACTAGAATAGAACGGACTCGAATGTAATTGATTGCAATGTATTTGATGCGAAAGGAGTGAAACAAAAGGGAATGTAATCAAATGGAATGGAAAGGTATGCAATGGAATGGAATAGAATGCAATCAAATGGAATGGAACGTAGTAGAATCGAGTGCAATGGAAATGAATGGAATGGAATCAAATGGAATGGACTGGAATGGAAAGACTCGAATGGAATGGATTGGAACAAAATGGAATCAAACGGAATGGAATGGAATGGAATGGAATGGACTCGAATGGAATGGGCTCGAATGAAATGGAATTGATTGGAATGGAATCGAATGAAATGGAGTTGAATGGAATCAAAAGGAATAGAATGGAATGGAGTGCAATGGAAAGATATTGAATGGAATGGAATGGAGTGGAATGGAATGGACTACAATGGAATGGACTTGAAGGGAATTGACTGGAGTGCAATGGACTCGAATGGAATGGACTGCAGTGGAATGGAAACAAATGGAACGGAATGGAATGGAATGGAATGGAATGGAATGGAGTGGAATGGAGTCGAATGGAATGGTATCAAATGGAATGGAATGGAACGGAATGGAATGGATTCAAATGGAATGGACTCGAATGGAAGAGAATCGAATGCAATGGAATTGAATGGAATGAAATGGAATGGAATGAATTAGAATGGACCCAAATATAATGGACTCGAATGGAATGGACTCAAATAAAATGGACAAGAAGAAATGGTCTCGAATGGAATTTAAGCAAGTAGAATGGAATCGCATGGAATGCAGCAGTATGGAAAGGAATCAAATGGAATGGAATCAAATGGAGTGGACCAGAATGGAAGGGAAAGGAATAGAAAGGACTCGAATATACTGGATTGCAAGGTAATAGATTCGAATGGAATGGAATTCAATGGAATGTAATCAAATGGAATGGAATGAAGTGCAATGGAATGGAATAGAATTCAATGCAATGGAATGGAAAGGAGTGGAATCGAGTGGAATGGAATCAAATGGAATGGAATCGAATGGAATTTAATCGATGGAATGGACTGGAATGGAATGGACTCGAATGTAATGGATTGCCATGTAATTGTTTCGAATGGAATGGATTTGAATTGAATTATACAAAATGGAATGGAATGCAATGGAATGGAATAGAATGCAATGCAATAGAATGTAACAGAGTGGAATTGAGTGGAATGGAATTGAGTGGAATGGAATTGAAAGGGATGGACTGGAATAGAATGGACTCGAATGGAATGGACTGAAACAAAATGGAATGGAATGGATTGCAATAGGAAGGAATGGAATGGAATGGAAAGGAATGGATTCGAATGGAATGGTGTCAAATGGAATGGTGTCGAATGGAATGGAATCAAATGGAATGGATTCAAACGGAAAGTATTTGAATGGAATTGAAAGGAATATAATGGAATGGAGTATAATGGAAAGATATCACATGGAATGCAATGGAATAGAATGGAATGGGCTCGAATGGAATGGACTGGAATGGAATGGACTGCAGTGGAACGGACTCGAATGACTTGACACGAATGGAATGGAATGGAAAGGAATAGAATGGAATGGAATCGGATGGAATGGAATGGAACGGAATGGAGTGGAATGGAATGGAATTGAGTCAAATGGAAAATAATCGAATGGAATGGCACCGACTAGAATGTAATGGAATGGAATGAAATGGAATAGAATGGAATGCAATGGAATGGAGTGGAATTGAGTGGTATGAAATCGAATGGAATGGAGTCGAATGGAATGGAGTGGAACAAAAATGGAATCGAATGTATTGGAAATGAACTGAATGGAAAGGAAGGGAATGGAATGGTCTCGAAATCAAAGGAGTCGAATGGAATGGAATCGAATGGAATGGACTGGAAAGGAATGGATTCCATTGGAAAGGACTTGAACAAAATGGAATCGAACAGATAAGAATTGAACGGAATGGAATACAATGGAATTGAAGGGACTCGAATGGAATGGCTTTGAATGGAATGAAATTGAATGGAATCGATTGTAATTAATACAATGGAATGCAGTGTAATTGAAAAATATCGAATGGAATGGAATGGAATGGACTCGAATGGAATGGACTCGAATGGAATGGACCAGAGTGGAATGGACTAGAATGGAATGGAAACGAATGTAATGGAATGGCGTGGAAAGTAATACAATGGAATGGAATGTAATCTTATAGAATGGAGTGGAATGGAATGGAGTCAAATGGAATGGCTTCGAATGGAATGGAATGGAATTGAAGGGAATGGACTCGAATTGAATTGATTCGAATGGAATGGCATCGAATGGAATTGAATGGAATGGAATGGACACAAATGTAATGGAATCGAATGGAATGGACTCGAATAGAATGAAATCGAAAGGAATGGGTTTGAATGGAATTTATTTGAATAAAATTGTTTCGTATGGAATGCAATAGTACAGAATGGAATAGAATGAAGTGGACATGAACGGAATGGACTGGAATAGAACAGACTCGAAGGTAAAGTATTGCAAGGTAATTGATTTGAATGGAATGGAAACAAATGGAATGTAATTACATGGAATGGAATGGAATTGCATGCAATGGAATGGAATAGAAAGGTATGCAATGGAATGGAAAGGAGTGGAAATGTGTGGAATGGAATCGAATGGAATGGAGTCAAAAGCAATGGACTGGAATGGAATGGACTCGAATGAAATGCACTGGAACAAAATGTAATCGAACAGATTGGAATCGAATGGAACAGAATGGAACGGAATGGAATGGAATGGAATAGACTGGAATGGAATGGAGTCGAATGGAATGGAACAGAATGGAATGGAATCGAATAAAATGGAATTGAATGAAATCGAAAGGAATAGAATGGAATGGAGTATAATGGAAAGATATCGAATGCAATGGAATGGAATGGACTCGAAAGGAATAGACTGGAAAAAATGGACTCGAATGGAATGGACTGCAACTGAATAGACTCGAATGGAATGGAAACGTATGGAATGGGATGGAAAGGAATAGAATGGAATGGAAAAGGATGGATCGGAATGGAAAGGAATGGAGTCGAACGGAATAGAATCAAATGGAATGGCATCGAACGAATTGGAATGGAATGGAATGGAATGGACTCGAATGGAATGGACTTGAAAGGAATAGAATAGAATGGAATGGCATCTAATGGAAAGAAAAGAATTGAATGGAAAGTACCCAAATGTAATGGAATCGAATGGAATAGAATCAAATAGAACGGACTTGAAAGGAATGGTCTCGAAAGAAATTTATTCGAATAGAATGGAATCAAATGGAATGCAGTAGTATGGAATGGAATAGAATGGAATGTAATACAATGGAATGGACTGCAATGGAATGGACTGGAATAGAACGGACTCACATGAAATGGATTGCAATGTAATTGATTCGAATGGAATGGAATTGAATGGAATGTAATCAAATGGAATGTAATTGAATGCATAGGAATGGTATAGAATTGAATGGAAAGGAAAGGAACAGAGTGGAATTGAGTGCAATGGAATCGAATTGAAAGGAATCGAATGGAATGGACAGGAATGTAATGGATTCGAATGGAATGGACTGGAACAAAAAGGAATGGAATGGATTGGAATTGAAAGGAATGGAATGGAATGGAATGGAATGCACTCGAAAGGAACAGAGTCGAATGGAATTCAATCGAATGGAATGGAATCAAATGGAATGGAATTGATTGGAATTGAAAGGAATGTAATGGAATGGAGCGTAATGGAAAGATATTAAATGGAATGGAAAGCAATGGACTCGAATAGAATGGACTGGAATGGAAAGGACTCAAATGGAATGGACTGGAGTGGAAAGGACATGAAAGAATGAAAACGAAGGAATGGAATGGAATGGAATGGAAAGGAATAGAATGGAATGGAATCAGATGGAATGTAATGGAAAGGAATAGAATGGAATGGAATGAGATGGAATGGAATGGAATGGAGTCAAGTGGAATAAAATCGAATGGAATGGCATCGAGTGGAATGGAAAGGAATGGATTCGAGTTGTATGGACTCGAATGGAATAGAATCAAATAGAATGGCATGGAATGGAATGGAATGGAATGGAATGGAATTCAATGAAGTGGAATAGAATTGAATGCCATGGAATGGAATGGAGTGGAATCGAGTGGAATGGAATCAATTGGAATGGAATCGCATGGAATGGCATTGAATGGAGTACAGTTGAATGGAATGGATTGGAACAAAATAGAATCGAACGACTTGGATTTCAACGGAACGGAATGGAATGGAATAGAATGGAATGGTCTCGAATGCAATGTATTTCGAATGGATTGGAATCAGATGGAATGGCATCAAATGGAATGGAATGGAATGGAATGGATTGGAATCGCAAGTAATGTACTCGAATGGAATATAATCAAATGGAATGGCATTGAATAGAAGGGAATGGAATGGCATGGAATGGATTAGAATGGAAAGCAATGGAATGGAGCGGAGTATAATCGACTTGTATGGAATTGAATGGAATGGAATCAAATGGAATGGAATAGAATGTAATTGACTGGAATGGAATGGAATCAAATGGAATGGAATGGAACAAATCGGAATCGAACCTATTGGAATCGAATGGAAAGGAATGGAATGGTCTCGAATGCAATGGAATTGAATGGTATGGAATCGAATGGAATGGAGTCAAATGGAATGGACTTGAGTGGAATGGACTGGAACAAAATGGAATCAAACAGATTGGAATCAAACAGAATGGAATAGAACAGAATGCAATGGAATGGACTCCAATGGAATGGAGTCTAAAGGAATGGAATCGAACGGAATAGAGTCGAATGGAATGGAATTGAATGAAATCGAAAGGAACAGAATGGAATGGAGTGTAATGGTAAGATATCGAGTGGAATGGAATGGAATGGACTGGAATGGAACGGACTCGAATGGAATGGACTGGATTGGAATGGACTCGAATGGAATGGAAACAAATGGAATATAATGGCATGGATATGAATAGAATTGATTGGAATTGGATGGAATAGAATGGACTGGAATGGCAACATATGGAATGGAATGGAAGCGAAAGGAATGGAAACGAATGGAATAGAATGAAATGGAATGGCATCGAATAGAATGGAATGGAATGGACCCAAATGTAATGGACTCAAACGGAATGGACTCAGATAGAATGGACTCGAAAGGAATGGACTCGAATTGAATTTATTCAAATAGAATGGAATCGTAAGGAATGCAATTGTATGGAATGCAATAGAATGGAATAGAATCTAATGGAATTGACAGGAATGAAATGGACTGGAATACAGCGGACTCGAATGTAATGGATTGCAATGTAACTTATTTGAATGGAATGGCAACGAATGGAATGTAATAAAATGGAATGGAATGGTACGCAATGGAATGGAATAGAAAGGAATGCAATGGAATGGAACGGACTGGAATCGAGTGGAGTGGAATTGAATGGAAAAGATGTGAATGGAATGGAATCGAATGGAATGGACTGGAATGGAATGGACTTGAATGGAATGGACTGTAAGAAAAGGTAATCGAACAGATTAGAATTGAATGGAACGGAATGGAATGTACTCGAATGCAATGGAGTCGAATGAAATTGAACCGAATGGAATGCAATCGAATGGAATGGGATTGAATGGAATCGAAAGGAACAGAATTTAATGGAGTGCAATGGAAAGACATCGAATGGAATGGAATGGATTCGAATGGAATGGACTGGAATGGAATGGACTCAAATGGAATGGACTGGAGCGGAATGGATTCGAATGGATTAGAAACGAAAGGAATGTAATGGAAAGGAATAGAATGGAATGGAAATGGATGGAACTGAATGGAATTGAATAAAGTAGAATGGAATAGAATCAAATGGAATGGCATCGAATAGATTGGAATGGAATGTAATGGAATTGAATGGACTCGAATGGAATATGATAGAATGGAATGGCATCAAATGGAATGGAATGGAATGAAATGGACTCAAATGTAATGGACTCAAATGGAATGGAATCAAATAGAATGGACTCAAAAGGAATGGTCTCTAATGGAATTTATTCGAATGGAATGGAATCAAATGGAATGCAATAGTATGGAATGGAATCAAATGGAATGGAATCGAATGGAATGGACCGGAATGGAATGGACTGGCATAGAACAGACATGAATGTAAAGGATTGCAATGTAATTGATGTGAATGGAAAGAAATCAAATGGAATGTAATCAAATGGAATGGAATGGAATGCAATGGAATGGAATAGAATTTAATGGAATGGAATGGAAGACAGTGGTGTAGAGTGGAATGGAATCAAATGGAAGGGAATTGAATATAAAGGACTGGAATAGAACGGATTTGAATGGACTGTACTGGACAATAATGGAATGGAAAGGATTTTAATTTAAAGGAATGGAATGGAATGGAATAGAATGGAATGCACTCGAATGGAATGGAGTTGAATGGAATGGAATCGAATGGAATGGAAACAAATGGAATGCAATCGATTTGAATCGAAAGGAGTATTATGGAATGGAGTGTAATGGAAAGATATCAAATGGTATGGAATGGAATGGAATGGACTCGAATGGAATGGACTGGAATGGTAGAGACTCGAATGGAATTGACTGGAGGGGAATGGACACGAATGAATGAAAACGAATGGAATGGAATGGAATGGAAAGGAATAGAATGGAATGGAATCGCATGGAATGGAATGGACACGAATAGAATGGACTTGAATGGAATAGAATCGAAAAGAATGGCATTGAATGGAATGGAACGGAATGAAGTGGAATAGAATGGAATGTAGTGTTATGGAGTGGAGTGGAATCGAGTGGAATGGAATCAAATGGAATGGAGTCGAATGGAATAGAATCGAATGGAATGGCATCGAATGGAATGGAACGGAATGGAATGGACTCGAATGGAATGGAGTCGAATGGAATGGAATTGAATTCAATGGAATCGAATGGAATGCAATTGAATGGAATGGAATTGAATGGAACGGAGAGTAATTGAAAGATATCGAATGGAATGGAATGGAAAGGAATAGACTTGAATGGAATTGACTGGAATAGAATGGACACGAATGGAATGGACTGGAGTGAAATGGACTCGAACGAAATGGAAACGAATGGAAAGAATGGAATGGAAAGGAATAGAATGGAATGGAATCAGATGGAACAGAGTGGAATGTAGACAAATGGAATGGAATCGAATGGAATGGATTCACATGGAATAGAAACGAATGGAATGGCATCGAATGGAATGGAATAAAATGGAATGGAATGGAATGAAATGGAACCAAATATATTGGTTGCAAATGGAAGGACTCAAATAGAATGGAATCAAAAGGAATGGTCTCAAATGGAATTTATTTGAATACAATGGAATTGAATGGAATGAAATAGTACGGAATGGAATCGAATGGAATGGACCAGAATGGAATGGACTGGAATAGAACAATCTCGAATGTAATGGATTGCAATGCAATTGATATGAATTTAATGGAATGGAATGGAATGGAATGGAATGGAATGGAATGAAATGGAATGGAATGGAATGGAATGAAATAGAATGGAATGCAATGGAATGGATCGGAACGGAGTGGAATCGATTGGAGTGGTTCCAATGGAATGGAATCGAATTAAATGTATTCGAATGGAATGGACTCGAATGGAATGGGCTTGGGACAAAATGGAATCGAAAGGATTGTAATCGAACGCCCCGGAAAGGAATGGAATGGAATGAACTCGAATGGAATGTAATAGAATGGAATGGAATCGAATGAAATGGAGTTGAATGGAATCAAAAGGAATAGAATGGAATGGAGTGCAATGGAAAGATATTGAATGGAATGGAATGGAGTGGAATGGAATGGACTACAATGGAATGGACTTGAAGGGAATTGACTGGAGTGCAATGGACTCGAATGGAATGGACTGCAGTGGAATGGAAACAAATGGAACGGAATGGAATGGAATGGAATGGAATGGAGTGGAATGGAGTCGAATGGAATGGTATCAAATGGAATGGAATGGAACGGAATGGAATGGATTCAAATGGAATGGACTCGAATGGAAGAGAATCGAATGCAATGGAATTGAATGGAATGAAATGGAATGGAATGAATTAGAATGGACCCAAATATAATGGACTCGAATGGAATGGACTCAAATAAAATGGACAAGAAGAAATGGTCTCGAATGGAATTTAAGCAAGTAGAATGGAATCGCATGGAATGCAGCAGTATGGAAAGGAATCAAATGGAATGGAATCAAATGGAGTGGACCAGAATGGGAGGGAAAGGAATAGAAAGGACTCGAATATACTGGATTGCAAGGTAATAG
>NT_187384.1:234891-280839 GCF_000001405.40 Homo sapiens
GAATGGAATGGAATCGAATGGAATGGAATCGAATGGAACGGACTGGAATGGAAGGGACAACAATTGAGTGTACAGGAACAAAACGGAATGGAAATGATTGGAATCAAACGGAGCGGAATGGAAAGGAGTTGAATGGAACGGACTCGAATGGAATGGAGTCAAATGGAATGGAACTGCATGGAATGGAATCAAATGGAATGGAATTGAATGGAATCAAAAGGCATAGAATGGAATGGAGTGAAATGGAAAGATATCGAATCGCATGGAACGGAATGGAATGGACTCCAATGTAACGGACAGGAATGGAATGGATTAGAATGGAATGGAGTCGATTGGAATAGAACGGAATGGAATGGAATCGAATCGAATGGAATTGAATGGAATTCAAAGGAATAGAATGGAATGGAGTGTAATGGAAAGATATCGAAAGGAATGGAATGGAAAGGAATGGACTCGAACAAAATGAACTGGAATGTAATGGACTCAAATGGAATGGAAGAGAGTGGAATGGACTCGAATGGAATGGACTGGAGTGGAATGGACTCGAATGGAATGGAAACGAATGGAATGGAATGGAATAGAATGGAATGGAATCGGATGGAATGGAATGGAATGGAATGGAATGAAATGGAATGGAATTGAATGGAATGGAATGGACCGAAATGTAATGGACTCGAATAAAAGGGACTCAAAAAGAATGGATTCGAAAGGAATGGTCTCGAATGAAATGTGTTCGAATAGAATGGAATCAAATGGAATGCAATAGTATGGAATGGAATCAAATGGAATGGAATCGAATGGAATGGACCGGAATGGAATGGAGTGGAATAGAACGTACTCGAATGTAATGGATTGCAATGTAATTGATTGAAATTGAGTGTAATCGAATGGAACATAATCAAATGGAATGGAATGGAATGCAATGGAATAGAATAGAATGGAATGCAATGGAATGGAACAGAGTGGAATCGAGTGGAAAGGAATCAAATGGAATGGAATCGAATGGAATGGACTCAAATGGAATGGACTCGAATAGAATGGACTGTAAAGGAATTGTCTCGAATGAAATTTACTCAAATAGAATGGAATCGAATGGAATTCAATAGTATGGAATGGAATGGAATGGAATGTAGCAGGATGGAATGGACTAGAACAAAATGGAATCGAACGGACTGGAATCGAATGGGATGGAATGGTATGGAATTGAATGGAGTGGAATGGTATGGAGTCAAACAGAATGGAATCGAATGGAATGGAATCGAATGGAATGGAATTGAATGGAATCGAAAGGAATAGAATGGAATGGAGTGTAACGGAAAGATATCAAATGGAATGTAATGGAATGGATTCGAATGGAATGGACTGGAACAAAATGGAATTGAATGGATTGGAATTGAATGGAACAGAGTGGAATTGAATGGATTGGAATGGACTCGAATGGAATGGAGTCGAATGGAATGGAATCGAATGGAATGGTATGGAATAGAAAGTAATGGAATCGAAAGCAATGAAATTCAATGGAATCGAAAGGAATACAATGGAATGGAGAGTAATGGAAACATATCGAATGGAATGGAATGGAATGGAATGGAATGGAATGGAATGGAATGGAATGGAAACGAATGGATTGGACTGGAATGGAATGAACTCTAATGGAATGGATTGGAGTGGAATGGTCTCGAATGGAGTAGAATCGAATGAAATGGCATCTAATGGAATGGAATGGAAGGGAATGGAATGGACCCTAATATAATGGACGCAAATGGAATGGACTCAAATTGAATGGACATGAAAGGAATAGTCTCTTATGGAATTTATTCGAATGCAATGGTTTCGAATGGAATGCAATAGTATGGAATGGAATTGAATGGAATGTACCGGATTCCAATGGACTGGAATAGAATGGACTCAAATGTAATGGATTGCAATGAAATTGACTCGAATTGAATGGAATCGAATGGAATGTAATCAAATGGAATGGAATGGAATGCAATGGAATGGAATACAATGGAATGCAAAGGAGTGGAATGCAGTGGAATCGAGTGGAATGTAATCGAATGGAATAGAATCGAATGGAATGGACTGCAACGGAATGGACTCGAATGGAATGGACTGGAACAAAATGGAATTGAACGATTTTTAATCAAACAGAACGGAATGGAATGGAATGGAAAGGACTCAAATGGAATGGAGTTGAACGGAATGGAATCGAATGTAATGGAAATGAGTGGAATGGAATTGAATGTAATCGAAAGGAATAGAATATAATTGAGTGCAATGGAAAGATATCAAATGGAATGGAATGGAATGGCCTCAAATGGAATGGACTGGAATGGAATGGACTCCAATGGAACAGACTGGAGTGGAATGGACTCGAATGGAATGGACTGGAGTGAAATGGACTCGAATGGAATGGAATGGAATGGAATGGGAAGGAATAGAATGGATGGAATCTGTTAGAACCGAATTGAATGAAAGGGAGTCAAATGGAATAGAATTGAATGAAATGACTTCGAATGGAAAGGACTTTAACAAAATGGCATGGAACCGATTGGAATCGGATGGAACGGAAAAGAATGGAATAGAATGGAATGGAATGGACTTCAATGGAATGGAGTCGAATGGAATGAAGCAGAAAGGAATGGAATAGAATGAAACGGAATTGAAAGAAATCCAAAGGAATAGAATGGAATGGAGTGTAATGGAAAGATGTCGGATCAAATGGAATGGAACAGAATTCAGTCGAATGGAATAAAATGGAATGGAAGGGACTCCAATGGCATGGACTGGAGTGGAATAGACTTGAATGGAATGGAAACGAATGCAGTGGAATGGCAAGGAATGGAATGAAATGGAAAGGAATGGAATGGAATGGAATTGGATGGAAAGGAATGGAATTGAATGCAGTCGAATGAAATAGAATAGAATGGAATGGCATCAAATGGAATGGAATAGAATGGAATGGATTCGAATTGAATGGACTCAAATATAATGGACTCGAAAGTAATGGTCTTGAATGGAATTTATTCGAATAGAATGGAATAGAATGTATTGCAATAGTATGGAATGCAATAGAATGGAATGGAATCGAACAGAATGGACAAGAGTGGAATGGACTGGAATAGAATGGACTCGAATGTAATGGATTGTATAGTAACTGATTTGAATGGAATGGAATCGAATGGAATGTAATCAAACGGAATGGAAAGGAATGCAACGTAAAGGAATAGAATGGAATGCAATGGAATGGAACGGAGTGGAATCGAGTGGAATGGAATACAATGGAATGGAATAGAATTGAATGGAATCAAATGGAATGTACTGGAATGGAATGTACTCTAATGGAATGGACAGGTACAAAATGGAATCAAACGGATTGCAATCGAACAGAACAGAATGGAATGTAATCGAATCGATTGGAATGGAGTTCAATGGAATGAAATCGAATGGAATGGCATCGAATGGAATTGAATTGAATGGAATGGAATTGAATGGAATCAAAAGGAATAGAATGGAATGGAGTGTAAGGAAATATATCGAATGGAATGAAATGGAATCGAATGGACTCAAAGGGAATGGACTGGATTGGAATGGACTCGAATGGAATAGAATCGAATGGAATGTCATTGAATGGAATGGATTGGAATGGAATGAAATGGAATGGAATGGAATGGACCCAAATATAATGTACTCGAATGGAATGGATTCAAATAGAATATATTCGAAAGGAATGGCCACGAATCGATTTTTTACCAATAGAATGGAATCGAATGGAATGCAATATTATGGAAAGGAATCAAATGGAATGGAATCACATGGAATGTACCGGAATGGAATGGCCTGGATTAGAAAGGACAGAAGTGTAATGGATTTCAATGTAATTGATTCGAATGGAATGGAATCGAATGGAATGTAATCCAATAGAATAGAATGGAATGCAAGGAATGGAATAGAATGGAATGCAATGTAATGGAAAGGAGTAGAATTGAGTGGAATGGAATCGAATGTAATGAACTGCAATGGAATGGACTCTAATTGATTGGACTGGAACAAAATGCATTCGAACAGATCGGAATAGAACGTAATGGAATGGAATGGAATGGTGTCGAATGGAATGGAGTCGAATTGAAAGGAATCAAATGGAATGGACTGGAACGGAATTGACTGGAATAAAACAGACTAGAATGTAATGGATTGCAATGTAATTGATTCGAATGGAATGGAATTGACTGGAATAGAATTGAATGGAATCAAAAGGAATAGAATGGAAAAGAGTGTAATGGAGTGATATCAAATGGAATGGAATGGAATGGAATCGACTGGAATGGACTGGAACAAAATGGAATTGAAAAGATTGGAATCGAATGGAAAGGAATGGAATGGAATCAAACGGAATGGACTCGAATGGAATGGAAACGAATGGAATGGAATCAAATGGAATGGAATCGAAATGAATGGAATTGAAAGGACTGGAATTGAATGGAATCAAAAGGAATAGAATGGAATGGAGTGAAATGGAAAGATATCAAATGGACAGGAATGGAATTGTCTCGAATGGAATGCAATGGACTCGAATGGAATGGACTGGAGTGGAATGGAAACAAATGAAATGGAAACGCATGGAATGGAATGGAATGAATTTTAAAAGATAGAATGGCATGGAATCGGATGCAACGGAATGGAATGGAATGGAGTCGAATGGAATAGAATCTATTGGAATGGCATCAAATGTAATTTAATGGAATGGAATGGACTGTAATGGAAAGGACTGGAATGGAATGGACTCAAATGTAATGGACTGGAGTGGAATGGAATAGAATGGTTTGGAAATGAAGGGAATGGAAAGGAATGAAACAGAAAAGAATGTAATTGAATGGAATGAAATGGAAAGGAATAAAATGGAATGGAATCAGATAGAGTCGAAAGGAAGAGAATCGAATGTAATGGTATATAAAGGAATGGAAAGGAATGAAACGCAAAAGAATTTAATTGAATGGAATGAAATGGAAAGGAATGAAATGGAATGGAATTGGATAGATTCAAATGGAAGAGAATCGAATGTAATGGCATATAAAGGAACGCAAAGGAATGCAATGGAATCGAATGGAATGGACTGGAACAAAATGGTATCGAACGGATTGGAATCAAAAGGAACAGAATGGAATGGAATGGAGTTGAATGGAATGGAAACGAATGGAATGGAATTGAATGGAATGGAATTGAATGGAATTCAAAGTAATAGAATGGAATGGAGTGAAATGGAAAGATATCGAAAAGTATGTAATGGAATTGAATGAACTCAAATTGAATGGACTATAATGGAATGGATTCGAATGGAATGTACTGGAGTGGAAGGGATTCGAATGGAATGGAAACGAATGGAACGGAATGGACTGGAAAGGAATAGAATGGAATGGAAGTGGATGGAATGCAATGGAATGGAATGGGTCGAATGGAATAGAATCGAACGTAATGGCATCGAATGGAAAGGAATGGAAACAAATGGATTGGAATCCAATGGAATAGAATCAAATGGAATGGCATAGAATGGAAAGGAAAGGAATAGTATGGAATGGACCCAAATGAAATGGACTCCAATGGAATGGACTCAAACAGAATGGACTCAAAAGGAATGTTCTCGAATAGAATTTATAAGAATAGAATGGAATCGAATGGAATGCAATATTATGGGATGGAATCAAATGGAATGGAATCGAATGGAATGGAAAAGAATTGAATGCACTAAATTAGTAAGGACTCGAATGAAATGGACTGCTATGTAATAGATTCGAATGGAATGGAATCGCATGGAATGTATTCAAATGGAATGGAATGGGATGCAATGAAATGGAATAGAATGGAATGCAATGGAATGGAATGGAGAGGAATCAAGTGGAATGGAATCGAATGGAATGGATTTGAACGGAAAGGAATGGACTGGATTGAACTGGAATGGAATGGACTCGAATGAAATGGCATGGAACAAAATGTAATGGAAAGGATTGGAATCGAACGGAATGGAATGGAATGGAATGGCCTCGAATTGAAGAGAGTCAAATGGAATGGAATCGAATGGAGTGGAATCGAATAGAATGTAATTGAATGGAATTGAAGGGAATAGAATGGAATGGAAAAGAAGGAATGGAATGGAATGGAATGGAATAAAATGGAATGGAATCGGATGGAAGGGAATGGAACAGAATGGATTCGAATGGAATAGAACCGAATAGAATGGCTTAGAATGGAATGGAATGGAATGGAATGGAAAAGACTCGAATGGACTGGAAACGAATGGAATAGAATGGAATGGAATGGAATGGAAAGGAATGGAAAGAAATAAAATGGAATGGAATCAGATGGAACGGTATGGAATGGAAGGAAGTCGAATGGAATAGAATCGAATGGAATGGCTTCTAATGGAATTTAATGGAATGGAATGGAAATGATTCGAATGGAATGGACTCGAATGGAATAGAATAGAATGGAATAACTTGGAATAGAATGGAATGGAATGGAATGGAATGGAATGGAAGGTAATGGCATGGAATTAAATAGAATGGAATGGAATGGCATGGAATGGAATGGAATGGAACAAAATGTAACGGACTATAATGGAATGGACTCAAATACAATACAATCGAAAGGAATGGTCTTGAATCAATTTATTTCAATAGAATGGATTCGAATGGAATGCAGTAGTATGGAATGGAATTGAGTTGAAACGAATTGAATGGAATGGACTGGAATGGAATGGAATTTAATAGAAGTGACTGGAATGTAATGGATTGCAATGTAATTGATTCGAATGGAACGGAAATGAGAGGAATGTAATCAACTGCAATGGAGTGCAATGCAATGGAATGTAATTGAAGGGAAGGCAATGGAATTGAACGGAGTGGAATCGATTGGAATGGAATCGAATGGAATGGAATCACATAGATTGGAATCGAATGGAAAAGACTGGTATGGAATGGACTAGAATCGAATAGACTGGAACAAAATACAATGGAAAAGATAGGAATCCAACGGAATGGAATGGAATGGAATGGACTCACATGGAAAGGAATCAAATGGAATGGAATCGAATGGAATGGAATTGAATGGAATCGAAAGAATAGAATGGATTTGAGTGTAATGGAAAGATACCGACTGGAATGGAATGGAAAGGAATGGACTCGAATGTAGTGGACTGGAATGGAACAGACTAGAACGGAATGGACTGGAGTGGAATGGACTCGAATGTAGTGGACTGGAATGGAACAGACTAGAACGGAATGGACTGGAGTGGAATGGACTCGAATGGAATGGAAATGAATGAAAGGGAATGGAACGGAAAGGAATAGAATGGAATGGAATTGGATGGAATGGAATGGAATGGAATGGATTTGAAAGGAATAGAATCGAGTGGAATGGCAATGAGTGGAATGGAACGGAATTCAATGGACTCTAATGGAATGTACTCGAATGGAATAGCACTGAATGGAAGGGCATCTAAGGGAATGGAATGTAATGGAATGGAATGGAATTGAATGGAATGGAATGGACCCAAATGTAATAGATTCGAATGGATTGGACTCAAATAGAATGGACTCGAAAGGAAAGGTCTTAAATGAAATTTATTCTAATAGAATGGAATCGAATGGAATGCAGTAGTATGCAGTGGAATTGAATGGAATGGAATCAAATGGAATGTATCGTGATGAATGGACTGGAACAAAATGGAATTGAATGGATTGGAATCGAACAGAATGGCATGGAATGGAATGGAATTGACTCGAATGAAATGGAGTCAAACAGAATGGAATCGAATTTAACACAATTAAATGGAATGGAATTGAATGGATTCTAAAGGAATAAAATGGAATGGAGTGTAACGGAAAGATATCAAATGGAATGGAATCGAATGCAATGGACTGGAACAAAATGGAATCAAATGGATTGGAATCGAACGGAAACGAGTGGAATGGAATGGATTGGAATGAACTCAAATGGAATGGAGTAGAATGGAAAGGAATCAAAAGGAATGGAAAAGAACGGAATTGAATCAAATAGAATGCACTGGAATAGAATGGACTCGAATGGAATGGACTGGAACAAAATGGAATTGAACGGATTGGAATCGAACGGAACGGAATGTAATGTAATGGAATGGAATGGAAAGGAATGGACTCGAATGGAAGGGAGACGAAAGGAATGGAATCAAATGGAATGGAATCAAATGGAATGGAATTGAACGGAAATGAAAGGAATAGAATGGAATGGAGTGTAATGGTAAGATATCGAATGGAATGGAAGGAATGGAATGGACTCGAATGGAAGGGACTGGAGTGGAGTGGAATTGAATTGAATGGACTGGAGTGGAATGGACTAGAATGGAATGGAAACGAGTGGAATGGAATGGAATGGAAAGGAAAGGAATAGAATGGAATGGAATCGGATGGAACCGAATGGAATGGAATGGAGTTGAATCGAATAGAATCTATTAGAATGGCATCAAATGGAATGGAATGGACTTGAATGGAATGGACTCCAATGGAAAAGAAACGAATTGAATGGCATCGAATGGAATAAAATGGAATGGAAAGGACCCAAATATAATCGCCTTGAATGGAAAGGACTCAAATAGAATGAATTCGAAAGAAATGGTCTCGAATGGAATGTATTCGAATAGAATGGAATGGAAAGGAATGCAGAAGTATGGAATGGAATCTAATGGAATATAATCGAATGAAATGGACTGGAAAGGAATTGATTGTAATAGAGTGAACTCGAAGGCAATGGAATGCAATGTAATTGATTCGAATGAAGTGGAATCGAATGGAATGGAATCGAATGGAACGGACAGGAATGGAATGGACTGGAATAGAACGGACTCTAATGTAATGGATTGCAAGTAATTGATTAGAATGGAATGGATTTGAATGGAATTTAATCCAATGGAAAGGAATGGAATGCAATGGAATGGAATAGAATGGAATGCAATGGAATGGCACAGAGTGGAATTGAGAGGAATGGAATCGAATGGAGTGGAATTGAGAGGAATGGAATCGAATGGAATGGAATCGAATGCAATTGACTGGAATTGAATGACCTCGAATGGAATGTACTGGAATAAAATTTAATGGAACGGATTGGAATCAAAAGGAAACGAATGGAATGCAATGGAATGGAATGGAATGGACAGGAATGCAATGGACTCGAATGAAATGGAATCGAATGGAATGGAATCAAATTGAATGGAATTGATTGGAATCAAAAGGAATAGAATGGAATGGAGTGTACTGGAAAGATATCGAATGGAATGGCCTGGAATAGAATGGACACGAATGTAATGGATTTTCATGTAATTGATTCGAAATATATGTAATTGAATGGAATGTAATCAAATAGAATGGAATGGAATGCAATGTAATGGAATAGAACGGAACACAATGGAATGGATCGGAGTGGAATCGAGTGGAATGGAATCGAATGGAATGGATTCAAATGGAATGGAATCGAATGAAATGGTCTGGACAAAAATGGAATCGAATGGATTGGAATCGAAAGGAACGGAATGGAACGGAATGGAATGGACGCGAAAGGAATGGAGTTGAAAAGAATGCAATCGAATGGAAAGGAATCAAATGGAATGGAATTCAAAGGAAACGAAAAGTATAGATTGGAATGGAGTGTAAAGGAAACCTATCGAATGGAATGGAATGGAATGGAATGGATTCGAATGGAATGGACTGGAGTGGAATGGAATCGAATGGAAAGGAAACAAATGGCATGGTATGGAATGGAATGGAATGGAATGGAAAGGAATGGAATGGAATGGAATGGAATTGGTTGAAATGGAATGGAATGGAATGGAATCGAATCGAATGGAATAACCTCGAATGGAAAGCAATGGAATGGAATCCCCTCGAATGGAATAGAATCGAACGGAATGGAATGGAATAGAATGAAATGGAATGGAATGGAGTCAAATGGAATGGAACAGCATGGAATGGAATCGAATGGAAAAGAATTGAATGGAATCGAAAGGAATAGAAAGGAAAGGACTGTAATGAAAAAATATCGACTGAAATGGAATGGAATGGACTTAAATGGAATGGATTGGAAAGGAATGGATTCGAATGGAATGGACAGAGGAGTAATGGATTCAAATGGAATGGAAACGAATGGGGTGGAATGGAATAGAATGGAAAGGAATAGAATGTAATGGAATCGGATTGAATGGAATGGAACAGAATGGAATGGAATGGACTCGAATGTAAATAAGTCGAATGGAGTGGAAAGCATGGAGTGGAATTGAATGGAAAGGAATTGAATGGAATGGAAAAGAATGGAATGGAATGGAGTGTAATGGAAAGATATCGAATGGAATGGAATGAAATGGAATGAAATGGAACAGCCTCGAATGGAATGGACTCGAATGGAATATAATCGAATGGAATATAATCGAATTGAATGGCATCAAAAGCAATGGAATGGAATGGACCCAAATGTAATGGACTCGAATGGAATGGACTCAAATAGAATGGACTCGAAAAGAAAGGTCTCGAATGGAATTCATTCGAATAGAATAGAATCGAATGGAATGCAATAGTATGGAATGGAATCGAAAGGAATGGAATTTAATGGAATGGACCGGAATGGAATGGCCTGGAAGGGAACGGATTCGAATGTAATGGATTGCAATGCAATAGGTTCGAATGGAACGGAATCGAAAGGAATGTCATCAAATGGAAAGGAATGGAATGTAATGGAATGGAATAGAATGGAATGCAAAGCAATGGAATGGAGTGGAATCTAGTGGAATGGAATCGAATGGAATGGACTGGAATGGAATGGACTCGAATGGAATGGACTGGAACAAAATCGAATCGAATGGAATAGAATCCAATGGAAAGTAATGGAAGGGAATGGAATCAACTTGAATGGAATGGAATGGAATGGAATGGAATGGAATGGAATGGACTCGAATCCAATGGAGTCAAATGGAATGGAATCGCATGGAATGGAATCGAATGGAAAGGAATTGAATGGAATTGAAAGGAATATAATGGAATGGAGTGTTATGAAAAAATATCGAATGGAATGGAATGCATTGGAATGGAATAGGCTCGAATGGAATAGATTGGAAAGGAATGGACTCGAATGGAATGGACTGCAGTGTAATGGACTCGAATTGAATGGAAACGAATGGAGTGGTTTGGAATGGAATGGAACATAAAGTAATAGAATGGAATGGAATCAAATGTAATGCAATGGAACGGAATGGAGTTGAAAGGAATAGAATTAAATGGAATGGCATCGATTGGAATGTAGTAGAATGGAATGGAATGGACTCGAATGGAATAGAACTGAATACAATGGCATTGAATGGAATGGAATGGATGCAAATATAATCAACTGGAATGGAATGGACTCAACTATAATGGACTCGAAAGGAATGGTTTTGAATGGAATTCATTCGAATTGAATGGAATCGAATGGAATGCAATAGTATTCAATGGAATAGAATGCAATGGAATCAAATGGAGTGGACTGGAATGGAATGGACTGGAATAGAACAGACTCCAATGTAATGGATAGCAAAGTAATTGATTAGAATGGAATGAAATAGAATGGAATGTAATAAAATGGAATGGAATGGAATGCAAAGGAATCGAAGGGAATGGAATGTATGGAATGGAACGGAGTGGAATTGAGCAGAATGGAATCAAATGGATTGGAATCAGATATTACATTGGAAGTCCATTGGAATCGAAAGGAATGGACTGGAATGGAAAGGACTCGGACGGAATGGACTGAAACAAAATAGAATTGAACGGATAGGAATCTAACAGAATGGAATGGAAAGGAATGGAATGGAAAGGAATGGAATGGAATCGAATGGAATAGAGTCGAATGGAATCGAATAGAATGGAATGGAATCAAAAGGAATGGAATTGTATGGATTCGAAAGTAACAGAATGGAATGCAGTGTAAAGGAGAGATATCGTATGTAATGTAATGGAATGGAACGGACTTGAATGGAATGGGCTGGAATGGAATGGACTCGAATTGAATGGATTGGAGTGGAATGGACTCGAATGGAATTGAAATGAATGCAATGCAATGCAAAGGAAAGGAATAGAATGGAATGGAATCGGATGGAATGGAATGGAATGAAGTTGAATGGAATTGAATAGAAAGGAATGGCATCTAATAGATTGGAATGGAATCGAATGGAAAGGATTCGAATGGAATGGACTCGAAAGGAATAGAATCGAGTGGAATGGGATGGAATAGAATGGAATGGAATGGAATGGAATGGAATGGAATGGAATGGAATGGAATAGAATGGAATGAAAGCAGATGGAACACAATGGAATGGAGTGGAGTCAAATATAATACAAGCGAATATAATGTTGTCGAATGGAAAGGAATGGGCTCAAATGGAATGGACTCAAATGTAATAGAATGAAATGGAATGGCATGGAATGGAATGGACACAAATGTAATGGACTCAAAAGGAATGAACTCAAATACAATGAACACAAAAGAAATGGTTTCAATTGGAATTTATGTGAATACAATGGAATTGAAAGGAATGCAATATTATGGAATGGAATGGAATTGAATGGAATGGAACGGAATGGAATGGACTGGAATAGAAAGGACTCGAATGTACTGGAATGCAATGTAATAGATTCAAATGGAATGGAATCGAATGGAATGCAATCAAATGGAATGGAATGGAAATCAATGGAATGGAATCTAATAGAATGCAATGGAATGCAATGGAGTGCAATCAATTGGATTGGAATCGAATGGAATGGAATTGAGTGGAATGGAATCATTTGGAATATACTGTAATAGAAAGGATTCGAATGGAATGGAATGGAACAAAATGGAATCGAAGGGATTGGAATTGAATGGAACGGAATGGAAATCAATGGAATGTAATGGCTTTGAATGTAATTGAGTCGAATGCAATGGAATCGAAAGGAGTGGAATCGAATAGAATGGAATTGAAAGGAATTGAAGGGAATAGAATAGAATAGAGTGTAATGGGAAGATTTCGAATGGAACGGAATGGAATAGACTTGAAAGGAATGGACTGGATTGGAATGGACTCGAATGGAATGGACTGGAGTGGAATGGACTCGAAAGAAATGGAAACGAATGGAATGTAATGGAAAAGAAAGGATTGGAATGGAAAGGAACAAAATGGAATGGAAACAGATGAAAAGGAATGGAATGGAATGGAGTCGAATGAAATAGAATTGAATGGAATCACATTGAATGGAATGGAATGGAATGGAATGGAATGGACTCGAATGGAATAGAAACCAATGGCATGGATTGGATTGAAATGGAAGGGAATGGAATGGAATCTAATGGAATGGAAAGGAACAGAATGGAATGGAATTGGATGGAATGGAAGGGAATGGAATGGAGTCGAACGCAATAGAATCAAATGGAATGGCATTGAATGGAATGGAATGGAATGGACTTGAGAGGAATGGACTCTAATGGAATAGAATAGAACGGAATGGCATCGAATGGAATGGAACGGAATGGAATCCACCCATACGTAATGGACTCGAATGGAATGGACTCAAATAAAATGGACTCGAAAGGAATGGAATCGAAAGAATGGTCTCCAATGTAATTTATTCAAATGGAATGGAATTGAATGGAATGCAATCGTATGGAATGGAATCAGATGGAATGGAATCAAATAGAATAGACCAAAATTGAATCGACTCGAATGGAACGGACTCGAATGTAATGGATTGCAATGTAAATGAATTGAATGGAACGGAATAAAATTTTATGTAATCAAATGGAATGGAATGGAATTCAATGGAATGGAAAAAAGTGGAATGCAATGGAATGGAACGGAGTGGAACCGAGTGGAATGGAATTGAATGCAATGGAGTGAAAAGGAATGCAATGGAATGGAATGGAGTGGAATCGAATGGAATGGAATGGAGTGTAATCGAGTGGAATTTAATCGAATGGAATGGAATTGAATTGAATGGATTGGAATGGAATGGACTCCAATGGAATTCACTGGAACAAAATGGATTGGAAAGGATTGGAATCAAACGGAATGGAATGGAATGGAATGGAGTTGAATGGAATGGAGTCGAATGGAATGTAACCAAATGGAATGGAATCGAATGGAATCGAAAGTTATAGAATGGAATATAGTGCAATGGCAAAATATCGAATGGAATGGAATGGACACGAATGGATTGGACTGGAATGGAATGTACTCGAATGGAATGGACTGGAGTGCAATGGACTCGAAAGGAATGGAAACGAATGGAATGGAATTGAATGGAATGGAGAGGAATAGCATAGAAAGGAATTGGACGGAACGAAATGCAATGGAATGGAGTCAGATGGAATAGAATCGAATGGAATGGCATTGAATGGAATTGAAAGGAATGGGATTGAAAGGAATGGAATTGAGAGGACTCGAATGGAATGGACTCGAATGGAATAGAATAGAATGGAATGACTATGAATGGAATGGAATGGAATGGAATGGAACCAAATGTATTGGAATGGAATGGAATGGAATGGATTGGAATCGAACGGAATGGAATGGAATGGAATGGATGCGCATGGAATGGGGTCAAAAGGAATGGAATCTAATGGAATGGAATGAAATCGAAAGAATAGAATGGATTGGAGTTTAATGGAAAGATACGGAAAGGAATGGAAGGGAATGGACTCAAATACAATGGACTGGAATGGAATGTACTGGATTGGAATGGACTGGAGTAGAATGGACTCGAATGGAAAGGAAACGAATAGAATGGAATGAAAGGGAATGGAATAGAATGGAATTGAAAGGAAAAAAATACAATGGAATGGAATCAGATGAAAGGGAATGGAAAGGAATGGAGTAGAATGGAATGGAATCGGATGGAACACAATGGAATGGAATGTAGTCCAATGGAATAGAATCAAATGGAATGACAATGAATGGAATGGAACGGAATGGAATCGAATGTACTCTAATGGAAAATACTCGAATGGAATAGCATTGAATGGAATGCAATCCAATACAATGGAATGGAATGGAGTGGAATCGACCCAAATGGAATGGAGTGGAATGAAATGGAATGGAATAGAATGGAATGCAAAAGAATGGAACAGAGTGGAATCGAGTGGAATGGAATCGAATGGAATGAACTGGAATGGAATGGACGCGAATGGATTGGACTAGAACAAAATGGTATCGAACGGATTTGAATAAAACGGTACAGAATGGAATAGAATAGAATGGAATGGAATCGAATGGAATGGACTGGAGTGGAACAGAATGGAAAGGAATAGAATGGAATGGAAGTGGATGGAACGCAATGGAATGCAATGGATTCGAATTGT
Source organism: Homo sapiens (assembly GCF_000001405.40). Classification (NCBI taxonomy): domain Eukaryota; kingdom Metazoa; phylum Chordata; class Mammalia; order Primates; family Hominidae; genus Homo; species Homo sapiens. The sequence goes on from NT_187384.1 coordinate 250,273, forward strand.
ATAGAATTGAATATAATGGCGTTGAGTGGAATGGAATGGACTCAAATGGAATGGAATCAAATGGAATAGAATCAGATGGAATGGCATGGAATGGCATGGAATGGAATGGACACAAATGTAATGCACTCAAAAGGAATGGACACAAATAGAATGGACACAAAGGGAATGGTCTCGACAGGAATTTATTCGAATACAATGGAATCAAGTAGAATGCAATATTATGGAATGGAATCGAATGTAATGGAATCGAATGGAATGGAACGGAATGGAATGTACTGGAATAGAAAGGACTCAAATGTAATGCACTGCAATGTCATAGATTTGAATGGAATGGAATCGAATGGAATGTAATTAAATGGAATGGAACGGAAAGCAGTGAAATGGAATCGAATAGAATGCAATGGAATGGAATAGAGTGGAATCAAGTGGAATGGAATCGAATGGAATGGAGTTGAGTGGAATGGAATCGATTGGAATATACTAGAATGGAATGGACTCGAATGGAATGGAATTGAACAAAATGGAATCGAACGGATTGGAATCGAATGGAACGGAATGGAATGGAATGGAAAGGAATGACCTCGAAAGTAATTGAGTCAAACAGAATGGAATCGAAAGGAGTGGAAACGAATAGAATGGAATTGAATGGAATCGAAGGGAACAGAATGGAATGGAGTGTAATGGAAAGATATCAAATGGAGAGGAATGAATGGACTCGAATGGAATGGACTGGAAAGGAATGGAATGCAATGGAAAGCAATAGAATGGAATGGAAACGGATGGAAAGAAATGGAATGGAATGGAGTCAAATGGAAAAAATTGAATGGAATGGCATCGAATGGAATGCAATGGAATGGAATGGAATCGAAAAGAATGGAAACGAACGGAATGGATTGGAATGGAATGGAATGGAAAGGAATGGAATGACCTCGAATGGAATGAAATGGAATCAAACGGAATGGACTCGAATAGAATGGACTGGAACAAAATGGAATCGAACGGATTTGAACAAATGGAATGGAATGAAATGGACTCGAATGGAATGAAGTCTAATGGAATGGAACGGAATGTAATGGAATCCCATGGAATGGAATTGAATGCAATTGAAAGGAATTGAATATAATGGAATGTAATTGAAAGATATCAAATGGAATGGAATGGGATTGACTCGAATAAATCGGAGTGGAATGGGATGGACTCGAATGGAAAGGACTGGAGTGGTATGGATTGAATGGAATGGAAACTAATGGAATGGAAACCATTTGAATAGAATGGAAGGAAATAGAAAGGAATAGAATGGAATGGAATCTGATGGATCAGAATGGAATGGAACGGAGTCGAATGGAATGGAATGGAATCGAATGGAAATGGAATAGAATGGAATGGAATGGAAAGGACTCAAATGGAATGGACTCGAATGGAATAGAATAGTATGGAATGACTTCGAATGGAATGGAATGGAATGAAATGTAATGGACTTGAATAGAGTGAACTCAAATAGAATGCAATCCAAAGGAATGGTCTCGAATGGAGTTTATTCGAATAGAATGGAATCGAATGGAATGCAATAGTATGGAATGGAATCGAATGGAATCGAATCAAATGGAATGGAGTGGAATGGAATGGACTAGATTACAACGGACTGAAATATAATGGATTCCAATTTAAATGGCTTGAATGGAATGGAATCAAGTGGAATGTAATCAAATGGAATGGAATACAATGAAATGGAATGGAGTGAAATGCAGTGGAATGGAACTGAGTGGAATTGAGTGGAATGGAATCGAATGGAATGGAATTGTATGGAATGGAATTGAATGGAATGCACTGGTATGGAATGGAATAGAATGGAATGGACAGGTACAAAATGGAATAGAATGGATTGGAATCGAACAGAATGGAATGGAATGGAATGGAATGGAATGAACTCACATGGCATGGAGCCAAATGGAATGGAATCAAATGACATGGAATTGAATGGAATCGAAAGAATTGAATGGATTGGAGTATAATGTAAAGATACAGAATGGAATGGAATAGAAAGGAATGGACTCGAAGGCAATGGATAGGAATGGAATGGAGTAGAATGGAATGGACTGCAGTGCAATGGACTCGAATGGAATCAAAAAGAATGGAATGGAATGGAACAGAAAGGAATGCAGTGGAATGGAATCAGATGGAACGGAATGGAATGGAATGGAGTCGAATGGAATAGAATCGAATGGAATGGGAATGAATGGAATGGAATGGAATGCAATGGAATGGAATGGACTGTAATGGAATGTATTCGGATGGAATAGCATTGAATGGAATGGCATTGAATGAAATGGAATGGAATCGAATCGAATGAAGTTGAATGGAATGGAATCGAAAGGAATGGAATGGAATTGAATGGACATGAAAGTAATGGATTGCAATGTAATTGATTCGAATGGAATGGAATCAAAGGTAATGAAACCAAATGAAATGGAAAGAAATGCAATGGAATGGAAGAGAATGGAATGCAATGGACTGGAACGGACTGGAATCGAGTGGAATGCAATTGAATGGAATGGAATCGAATGAAATGGAGTGGAATGGAATGGACTCGAATGGAATGTTCTGGAACAAAATGGAATCAAACGGATTGGAATTGAACGGAACAGAATGGAACCGAATGGAATGGAATAGACCCAAATGTAATGGATTCGAATGGAATGAAATCAAATAGAATGGACTCAAAAGGAATTGTCTCGAACGGAATTTAGTCGAATAGAATGGAATTGAATGGAATGCAATAGCATGGAATGGAATCGAATGCAATAGAATCAAATGGAACGGACTGGAATGGAATCAACTAGAATTCCTTGGACAGGAACAAAATTGAACGGAAAGGATTGGAATCGAACGGAGGAGAATGGAAAGGAATGGAAAGGAATTGATTCGAAAGAAATGGAACTGCATGGAATGCAATCAAACGGAATGGAATTGAATTGAATCGAAAGGAAAAGAATGGAAAGGAGTGAAAAGGAAAGATACGGAATGGAATGGAAGGGAATGGAATGGATTCGAATGTAATGTAATGGAATGGAATGGACTCGAATGGAATGGAGTCAAATGGAAAGAAACCGAATGGAATGGAATCGAATGGATTGGATTTGAAAGGAAACGAAAGGAATTGAATGGAATGGAATGGAAAGGAAAGATATTGAATGCAATGGAATGGAAAGGAAAGGACTCGAATGGAATGGACTGGAATGGAAGGGAGTTGAAAGGAATGGACTGGAGCTGAATGGACTCGAATGGAATGGAAAACAATGGAATAGAATGGAATGGAATGGAAAGGAATACAATGGAATGGAATCGGATGGAAGTGAATGGAATGGAATGGACTCCAATGGAATAGAATCGAATGGAATGGCATCGAATGGAATGAAATGGAATGGAATAGAATGGAATGGAATGGACCCAAATGTAATGGAATCGAATGGAATGGACTCAAATAGAATGGACTCAAAGGGAATGGTCTCGAATGGAATTTATTCGAATAGAATGGAATCGAATGGAATGCAATAGTATCGAATGGAATCGAAAGGAATGGAATCGTATGGAATGGACTGGAATGGAATCGACAGGAAAAGAACGGATACAAATGTAATGGATGGCAATGTAATTGATTAGAATGGAATGGAATCAAATGGAATTTAATCAAATGGAATGGAAAGGAATGCAAAGGAATGCAATAGAATCAAATGCAATGGATTGGAAAGGAGTGGAATCGAGTGGAATGGAATTGAATGGAATGCAATCGAATGGAATGGACTGGAATGGAATGGACTCGAAGGGAATGGACTGTAAGAAAATGGATCCGAACGGAATGGAAGGAATGGAATGGATTCGAATGGAATGGTGTAGAATGGAATGGAAACGATTGGAAAGGAATCGAATGGAATTGAATTGAATGGAATCGAAAGGCATAGAATGGAATGGAGTGTAATGGAAAGATATCGAATGGAATGGAATGGAATGGACTCGAATGGAATGGACTGGAATGGAGTGGACTCGAATGGAAAGGAGTGGAGTGGAATGGACACGAATGGATTAGAAACGAATAGAATGGAATGGAAGGCAAAGGAATAGAATGGAATGGAATCGGATGGAACGTTAAGGAATTGAATGAAGTTGAATGGAACAGAATCGATTGGAATGGAATTGAATGGAATTGAATGGAATGGAATGGAATCGAATGGAATGGACATGAATGGAATAGAATGAAATGCAATGGCATGGGATGGAATGGAATGGAATGGAATTGAATGGAATGGAATGGAATCGAATGGAATAGACTCAAAAAAAGGGACTCAAATACAATGGATTCGAAAGGAATGGTCTCGAATGTAATTTATTTGAATAGAACTTTATTGACTAGAATGCAATAGTATGGAATTGTGTCGAATGGAATGGAATGGAATGGAATGGAATGGAATGGAGTGGAATAGAACGGACCCAAATGTAATGGATTGCAATGTAATTGATTCAAATGGAATGGAATTGAATGGAATGTAATCACATGGAATGAAATGGATAGCAACGGAATGGAGTAGAATGGAATGCAATGGAATGGATCGGAGAGGAATCGAGTGGAATGGAATAAAACGGAATGGAATCGAATGGAATGGACATGAATGGAATAGACTCGAATGGAATGGACTCTAAACGTATGGTCTCGAATGGAATTTATTCGAATAGAATGGAATCGAATGGAATGCAATAGTATGGAATTGAATCGAATGGAATGGAATCGAATGGAATGGACTGGAAGGGAATGGACTGGAATAGAATGGACATGAACGTAATGGATTGCAAAGTATTCGATTCAAATTGAATGCAATCGAATGGAATGTAATCTAATCAAATGGAATGGAATGCAATGGAAAGGAATAAAATGGAATGCAATGGAATGGAACAGAGTGGACTCGAGTGTAATGGAATGGAACGGAATGGAGTCGAGTGGAATGGAATCGAATGGAATGGAATTGAATGGAATCGAATGGAGTAGTATGGAATGGAGTGTAATGCGGAGATATTGAATGGAATGGAACGGAATGGAATGGAATGGAATGGACACGAATGGAATGGACAGGAATGGAGTGTATTGAATGAAATGGACTGGAGTGGAATGGACATGAATGGAATGCAAACTAATGGAATGGAATTGTATGGAAGGAAAGGAATGGAATGTTACAGAAAGGGATAGAATGGAATGGAATCGGATGGAACGGAATGTAATGGAAAGGCATCAAATGTAATAGAATCGAATGGAATGACATCGAATGGAATGGAATGGAAAGGAATGGAATGGAATGGAATGGACTCGAATGGAATGGAATGGAATGGAATGGACTCGAATGGAATGGACTCGAATGGAATAGAATAGAAGGGAAAGGAAACGAATGGAATGGAATGGACCCAAATATAATGGACTCGAATGGAGTGGAATATAATAGAAAGCACTCGAAAAGAATGGTCTCGAATGGCATTTATTCGAATAGAATGGAATCGAATGTAACGCAATAGTATGGAGTGGAATCGAATGGAAAGGAGTATAAAGGAATGGACCGGAATGGAATCGACTGGAATAGAATGGACTCAAATGTAATGGAGTGCAATGTAATTGATTCGAATGGAATGGAATCCAATGGAATGTAATCAAATGGAATGGAATGGAATGCAATGGAATGGAATAGAATGGAATGCAATGGAATGGAACGGAGTGGAATCAAGTGGAAAGGAATCGAATGGAATGGACAGAATGGAATGTATTCGAATGGAATGGACTGGAACAAAATGGAAAAGAACAGTTTGGAATAGAATGGAATTGAATGGAATGGAATGGAGTGTACTCGAAAGGAATGGGTTTTGAATGGAATGGAATTGAATGGAATAAAAAGGAATAGAATGGAATGGAGTTTAATGGAAAGATATTGAATGGAATGGAACGGAATGGAGTGGATTCGAATGGAATGGTATGGAGTGTAGTAAAAAGATATCGAATGGAATGGAATGGAATGGAATGGAGAGGACTCGAATGGAATGGAATGGAATGGAATGGAGAGGACTCGAATGGAATGGAATGGAATGGAATTGACTCGAATGGAGTGGACTGGAGTGGAATTGACTAGAATATAATGGACAAGAATGGAATGGAATGGAATGGAAACGAATGGAATTGAATGGAATGAAATGGAAAGGAATAGAATAGAATGGAATCGGATGGAGTCGAATGGAATAGAATCGAATGGTATGGCACCAAACGGAATGGAATGGATTGGAAAGGAATGGAATCGAATGGAATGGAATTGAATGGAATAGAATCGAATGGAATGGAATTCAATGGAATAGAATTGAATGGAATGGAATGGACCCAATTGTAATGGACTCGAATGGAATGGACTCATAAAGAATGGAGTAGAAAGAAGTGGTATCAAATGGAATTTATTCGAATAGAATGGAATCAAATGGAAAGCAGTAGTATGGAATGGAATCGAAAGCAATGGACCGGAATGGAATGGAATGGAATAAAACGGACTGGAATGCAATGGATTGCAATGTAATTGATTCGAAAGGAATGGAATCGAAAGGAACGTATTCAATAGTATGGAATTGAATGCAATAGAATGGAACAGAATGGAATGCAAAGGAATGGAATGGAGTGGAACCAAGTGGAATGGAATTAGATGGAATGGAATTGAATAGAATGCAATGGAATGGACTGGAACAAAATGAAATGGAACCGATTGGAATCGAAAAGAATGGAATGGAATGGAATGGAATGGAATGGAATGGAATGGATTCGAATGGAATGGAGACGAATGGAATGGAACTGAATGGATTGGAATCGAATGGAATGGAATTGAAAGGAATCGAAAGGAATAGAATGGTATGGAGTGTAATGGAAAGATATCAAATGGAATGGAATGGAATGGAATGGAATGGAATGGAATGGAATGGACTCGAATGGAATGGAATGGAATGGAATAGAATGGACTCAAATAGAATGGAATGGAATGGACTCAAATGAAATGTACTGGAGCGGAATTGACATGAATGGAATGGAAAAGAATGGAATGGAATGGAATGGAATGGAAGAGAATGGAATAGAATTGGATAGAACGGAATGGAATTTAATGAAGTCAAATGGAATACAGTCTAATGGAATGGCATCGAATGGATTAGAATGGAATGGAATGGATTCGAATGGAATGGACTCGAATGGAATATAGTCAGATGGAATGGCATTGAATGGAATGGAATGGAATGGAATGGAACGGAATGGTCCAAAAGTAATGGAAATCGAATGGAATGGGCTCAAATAGAATGGACTCAAAAGGAATGATCTCGAATGTAATTTATTCGAATAGAATGTAATCGAAAGTAATGCAATAGTATGGAATGGATTTAAATGGAATGGAGTCGAATGGAATATACCGGAACAGAATGGACTGGAATACAACAGAATAGAATGTAATGGATTATAATGTAATTGATTCGACAAGAATGGAATAGAACAGAATGTAATCAAATGGAATGGAATGGAATAGAATGGAATCCAATGGAATGGAACGTAATGGAATCGATTGGAATAGAATGGAATGGAATGGAATGGAATGGAATGGAGTAGAATGGAATGGACTCGAATTCAGTGGACTGGAATAAAATGGAATCAAACGGATTGGAATCTAATGGAACGGAATAGAATGGAATGGAATTGACACGAATAGAATGGAGTCGAATGGAATGGAAATGAATGGAATGGAATCAAAAGGAATAGAATGCAATGGAGTGTAATGGAGAGATATCGAGTGGAATAGAACAGAATGGAATGGACTCGAAAGGAATTGACTTGAATGGAATGGCCTCGAATGGAATGGATTCGAATGTAATGAACTGGAGTGGAATTGATTTGAATGGAATGGAAACGAATGCAATGGAATGGAAAGGATAGGAATGGAATGAAATGGAAAAGAATAGAATGGAATGGAATCAGTTGGAATGGAATGCAATGGAATGGGATCGAACGGAATAGAATCGAATGGAATCGCATGGAATGGAAGGGAATAGAAAGAAATGGAATGTAATGGACCCAAATGTAATGGACTCGAATGGAATGGACTCAAATAGAATGTACTCGAAAGGAATGTTCTCGAATTGAATTTATTAGAATAGAATGGAATCGAATGGAATGCAATAATATGGAATGGAATCGAATCGAATGGAATCAAATGGAAAGTAGCGGGATGGAATGGACTGGTACAAATTGGAATCAAACAGATTGGAATCGAATGGAAAGGAGTGGAATGGAATGGAATGAACTCGAATGGAATGTAGTTGAACGGAATGGAATTGAATGGAATGGTATCAAATGGAATCGAATTGAATGGAATCGAAAGGAATAGAATGGAATGGAGTGTAACAGAAAGATATAAAATGGAATTGAATGGAATGGACTCGAATGGAATGTACTGGAACAAAATGGAATCGAATGGATTGGAATCGCACGGACCCGAGTGTAATGGAATGGATTGGAATGGACTCGAATGGAATGGAGTCGAATGGAATAGAATCGAATGGAATGGAATTGAATGGAATCCTAAAGAACAGAATGAAATGGAGTGTAATGGAAAGATATCGAATGGAATGGAATTGGATGGAATGCCTTCGAATGGAATGGACTGGAAGGGAATGGACTCGAATGGAATGGACTTGAGTGGAATGGACTCGAATGGAATGGAAACGAATGGAATGGAATGGCATGGAATGGAATGGAATGGAAAGGAATGGAAAGGAATAGAAGGGAATGGAATCGGATGGAATGGAATGAAATGGAATGGAGTTGAATGGAATAGAATCAAATGGAATTGCATCAAATGGATTGGAATGGAGTGGAATGGAATGGAATGGACTCGAATGCAGTGGACTCGAATGGCATAGAATCTAATGCAATGGCATCGAATGGAATGGCATGGAATGGAACAGAATTGAACGGAATGGTCTCAAATGTAATGGACTCGAATAGAATGGCCTCAAAAGAAATGATCTGAAAAGGAATCCGTATGAATAGAATGGAATCGAATGGAATGCAGTAATATGGAATGCAATCAAATGGAATCAAATAGAATGGAATGATCCGGAATGGATGTACTGGAATAGAACGGAGTCAAATGTAATGGATTGCAATGTAATTGATTCGAATGGAATGGAATCAAATGGAATGGAATCGAATGAAATGGACCGGAATGGAATGGATTTGAATAGAAGGGACTCAAGTGTAATGGATTGCAATGTAATTGATTCGAATGGAATGGAATTGAATGGAATTTAATCAAATGGAATGGAATGGATTGCAATGGACTAGAATAGAATGGAATGCAATGGAATGGAACAGAGTGGAATTGAGTGGAATGGAATTAAATATAATGGAAGCTAATGGAATGGAAGCCAATGAAATGGACAGGAATGGAATGGAGTCGAATGGAATGTACTGTAACAAAATGAAATCGAACGGATTGGAATCAAACGTAATGGAATGGAATGGAATCGAAACGAATGCAATGGAGTCGAATGGAATCGAATCGAAAGTAATGGAATCTAACAGAATGGAATTGAATGGAAGCGAAAGAATAGAATGGAATGGAGTGTAATAGAAAGATATTGAATGGAATGGAAATGGAATGCAGTCGAAATGAATGGACTAGAATGGAATGGATTCGAATGGAAAGGACAGGAGTGGAAATGTGTTGAATGGAATGGAAACGAATGGAATTGAATGGAATGCAATGGAATGGAATGGAACGAAAAAGAATGGAAAGGAATCGGAGGGAATGCAATGGACGGGAATGAAGTTGAATGGAATAGAATAGAATGGAATGGCATCGAATGGAATGGAATGGAAATGACTCAAAAAGAATGGACTCGAATTGAATAGAATGGAATGGAAAGGAATGGAATTGAATGGAATGGACCCAAATGTAATGGACTCGAATGGAATGGACTCAAATAGGATGGACTCGAAAGAAATAGTCTCGAATGGAATTTATTCGAATAGAATGGAATCGAAAGGAATGCAATATTATTGAACAGAATCGAAAAGAATGGAATCAAATGGAATGGAACAGAGTGGAATGGACTGCAATAAAATGAACTCGAATGCAGTTTGTTGCAATGTAATTGATTCGAATGGAAACAAACGAATGGAATGGAATAGAATGGAATGGACCAGAATAGAATGGACTGGAATAGAAAGGACTCGAATGTAATGGATTGCAATGTAATTGATTCGAATGGAATGGAATCAAATGGAATGGAATCGAATGGAATGGACTGGAATGGAAATGAGTGGAATAGAAAGGACACGAATGGAATGGATTGCAATGAAATTGATTCGAATGGAATGGAATCAAATGAAATGTAATACAACGGAACGGAAAGGAAGGCAATGGAATTGAATAGAATGGAATGCAATGGAATGGAATGGAGGGGAATGGAGTGGAATGGAATCGAATGAAATGGAATCTAATGGAATGGAATCCAATGGAATGGACTGTAATGGAGTGGAATCGGATGGAATGGACTGGAATAAAAAGGAATTGTACAGATTGGAATCAAATGGAATGGAATGGAATGGAATGGACTCGAACAGAATGGAGTCGAATGAAATGGAGTCGAATGGAACGGAATCAAATGGAATGGAAATGAATGGAAACGAAAGGAATAGACTGGAATGGAGTGTAATGGAAATGTGTCGAATGGAATGGAATGGAATGGGCTCGAATGGAATATAATCAAATGGAATGGACTCATATGGAATGGGCTGGAATGGAATGGAATGGGATGGAATGGAAAGGAATGGACTGGAATGGAATGGACTCGAGTCGAATGGACTCGAATGGAATGGAAACGAATGGAATGGAATGGAAAGGAATAGAATGGAATGGAATCAGATGGAAAGGAGTGGAATGGAATGGACTTTAATGGAATGGAATGACATCGAATGGAATGGAATGGAATTTACTGGAATGAACTCGAATGGAATAGAATCGTATGGAATGGCATCGAATGGAAAGGAATGGAATGGAATGGACCCAAATATAAAGGGCTCTAAGGGAATGGACTGAAATTGAATGGACTCAAAGGCAATGGCCTCGAATGAAATTTATTCGAATGGAATGGAATTGAATGGAATGCAATAGTATGGAATGCAATCGAATTGAATGTACCAGAATGGAATAGACTGGAATAGAATGTATTTGAATGTAGTGGATTGCAATGTAATAGATGAGAATGGATTGGAATCGCATGGAATGGAATAGATTGGAATGCAATGGAATGGAACGGAGTGGAATTGAATGGAATGGAATCGAATGGAATGGACTGGTATGAAATGGACTCGAATAGAATGGAGTGGAACAAAATGGAGTGGAATTGATTGGAATCGAACGAAGTAGAATGGAATAGAATTGAATGGAATTGAATGGAGTCGAATGGAATGGAATCGAATGGAATGGAATGGAATGGAATGGCATGGAATGGAATGGAACTGAATGGAAATGAAAGGAATAGAATGGAATGGAGTGAAATGGAAAGATATCAAATGGCATGGAATGGAACTGAATGGAATCGAATGGAATGGATTATAATGGAATGGACTAGAATGGAATGGACTGGAGTGGAATGGACTCGAATGGAATGGAAACGAATGGAATGTAATGGAATCAGATGGAATGTAACGGAATGGAATGGAGTCGAATGGAATAGAATCGAATGTAATGGTGTTGAATGGAATGGAATGGACTCAAATGGAATGGACTCGAATTGAATAGAATCAAATGAAATGGCCTGGAATGGAATGGAATGGAATGCAATGGACACAAAAGTAATGGACTCAAATGGAATGGACATGAAAGGAATGGACTCGAATGGAATATATGCAAATAGAATGGAATCGAATGGAATGCAATTCTATTGAATGGAATTGAATGGAATGGACCAGAATGGAATTGACTGGAATAGAACAGACTCAAGTGTAATGGATTGCAATCTAATTGATTGAAATGGAATCGAATCGAATGGAATGTAATCAAGTGGAATATAATGTAATGCAATGGAATGGAATAGAATGGAATGTAATGGAATGGAATAGAATGGAATACAGCAGAATGGAACAGAGTGGAATCTAGTGGAATGGTAGCAAATGGAATGGAATCGAATGGAAATGACTGGAAAGGAATGGACTCGAATGGAATGGATTAGAAAAAAATGGAGTCAAACAGATTGGAATCGAACGGAAATGAATGGATTGGAATGGAATGGATTCGAATGGAATGGAGTTGAATTGAATGGAGTGGAATGGAATTTAATCGAATGGAATGGAATCAAATAGAATAGAATTGAATGGAATCCAAAGGAATAGGATGGAATGGAGTGTAATAGAAATATATCCAATGGAATGGAATGGACTCGAATGGAATGGACTGGAATGGAATGGACTCGAAAGGAATGGACTGGAGTGGAATGCACTTGAATCGAATGGAAACAAAAGGAAAGGAATGCAATGGAAAGGAATGGAGTGGAAAGAAATAGAATGGAATGGAATCGGATGGAATGGAATGGAATGGATAGGAGTCAAATGGAAGAGAATCCAATGGAATGGCATTGAATTGAATGGCATCGAATGGAATCGAAAGAAATGGCATGGACTCTAATGTAATGGACTCGAATGGAATAAAATAGAATGGAATGGCATGGAATGGAATGGAATGGAATGGAATGGCACCAAACGTAACGCACTCGAATGTAATGGACTCAAATACAATGGACTCGAAAGGAATGGTCTCGAATTCAATTTATACAAATTGAACGGAATCGAATGGAATGCAATAGCATGGAATGGAATGGAATCGAATGGAACGGATCGGAATGAAATGGACTGGAATAGAATGGACTTGAATGTAACGGATTGCAATGTAATTGATTCGAATGTAATGGAATCAAATGGAATGTAAACAAATGGAATTGAATGGAATGCAATGGAATGGAATAGAATAGAATGCAATGGAATGGAAAGGAGTGGAATCGAGTGGAATAGAATTGAATGGAATGGAATCGAAAGGAATGGACTCGAATGGAATGGACTCGAATTGAATGGACTGGAAAAAATGGAATCAAAAAGATTGGAATCGAACGGAACAGAATGGAATGAAATTTAAAGGAATGGAATGGACTCGAATGGAATGGAGTCGAATGGAATGGAATCGAATGGAATGTAGTCTAATAGAATGGAATTGAATGCAATCAAAAGGAATAGAATGGAATGGAGTGTAATGGAAAGATATCGAATGGAGTGGAATGGACTCAAATGGAATGGACTGGAAAGGAATGGACTCAAATGCATTGGACTGGAGTGGAATGGACTGGAATGGAATGGAAACGAATGGAATGGAATGGAATTGAAAGGAATAGAATGGAATGGAATCGGATGGAATGGAATGGAGTCGAATGGAGTAGAATCGAATGTAATGGCATTGAATGGAATTGAAAGGAATAGAATGGAATGTACTCGAATGGAATAGAATAGAACGGAATTGCATCGAATGGAATGGAATGGAATGGAATTGACAGAAAAGTAATGGACTCGAATGGAATGGACTCAAATAGAATGGACAGGAAATCAATGGTCTCAAAAGGAATTTATTCAAAGAGAATGGAATCGAATTTAATGCAATAGTATGGAATGCAATCGAATGGAATGGACTGGAATGGAATGGACTGGAATGGAATGGACTCGAATGGAATAGATTGGAAAAAAATGGAATTGAAAGGATTGGAATCGAACGGAATGGAAGGGAATGGAATTGAATGGAATGGACTCGAATGGAATGGAGTCGACTGGAATGGAATCGAATGGAATGGAATCGAATGGAATGGAATTGAATGGAATCGAAAGGAATAGAATGGAATGGAGTGTAATGGAAAGATATCGAATGGAATGGAATGGAATCGAATGGAATGGATTGGAATGGAATGGACTGGAATGGAATGCATTTCAATAGAACAGACTCCAATGTAATGGATTGTAATATAATTGATTTGAATGGAATTGAAACGCATGGAATGTAATCAAATGGAATGGAATGTTATGCAATGGAATGGAATAGAATGGAATGCAATGGAATGCTTTAGAATGGAATGCAATGGAATGGAACAGAGTGGAATGTAGTGGAATGGAATTTAATGGAAAGGAATCGAAATGAATGGACTGGAATTGAATGGACTTGAATGGAATGGACAGAAACAAAATGGAATTGAACGGATAGGAATCAAACGGAACGGCATGGAAGGGAATGGAATGGGATGGACTCGCATGGAATGGAGTCGAATGAAATAGAAATGAATGGAATGGAATCGAATGGAATGGAATTGAATGGAATCAAAAGGAATAGAATGGAATGGAGTTTAATGGAAAGATATGGAATGGAATGGAATAGAATGGAAAGGAGTGCAATGGAAATATATCGAATGGAATGGAATGGAATGGACCTGAATGGAATGTACTGGAATGGAATGGATTCGAATGGAATGGAGTGGAGTGGAATGGGCTTGAATGGAATGGAAACGAATGGAATGGAATGGAAAGGAATTGAATGGAATGGAATCAGATGGAATGAAATGGAATGGAATGGAGTCTAATGAAATAGAATCGAATGGAATGGCATCGAATTGAATGGAATTTAATGGAAAGGAACGGACTAGAATGGAATGGACTTGAATGGAAAAGAATAGAATGAAAGGAAATCGAATGGAAAGGAATGGAATGGAATGGAATGGAATGAACCCAAATGTAATGGACTCGAATGGAATGGACTCAAATAGAATGGACTCGAAAGGAATGGTCTCAAATGAATTTATTTGATTAGAACGGAATCGAATGGAATGCAATTGTATGGAATGGAATCGAACAGAATGGAATCGAATGGAATGGACAGGAATGGAATGGACTGGAATAGAACGGACCCAAATGTAATGGATTTCAATGTAATTGATATGAATGGAATGGAATCGGTTGGTAAGTAATCAAATGGAATGGAATGTAATGGAATGGAATAGAATGGAACGCAATCGAATGGAACAGAGTGGAATCGAGTGGAATGGAATCAAATGAAATGGAATCCAATGGAATGGAATCGAATGTAGTGGACTCGAATGGAATGGAATGGAAAAAACTGGAATTGAACGGATTGGAATCAAAGGGAAAGGAATGGAATGGATTGGAATGGACTCGAATGGAATGGAGTCGAATGGAATAGAATTGAATGGAAAGGCATCGAATGGAATGGAACGGAATGGAATGGACTCGAATGGAGTGGACTCGAATAGAAGAGAATTGAAAGGAATGGCATGGCATGGAATGGAATGGAATGGAATGGAATGGAATGGAATGGACCTAAAGGTAATGTACTCTAATGGAACGGACTCAGATAGAACGGACTTGAAAGGAATGGTCTTGAATGGAACTTATTCGAATAGAAAGGAATGGAATGGAATGCAAGATTATGGAGTGGAATCGAAAGGAAAGAATTGAATGGAATGGATCGGAATGGAATGGACTGGAATAGAATGGACTCAAATGTAATGGATTGTAATGTAATTGATATGAAATGAATGGAATCGAATGGAATGTAATCAAATGAAATAAAATGGCATGCAATAGAATGGAAGAGAATGGAATGCAATGGAATGGAATGGAGTGGAATCAAGGGGAATGCAATCGAATGGAATGGAAACGAATGGAATGGAATCAAATGGAATGGACTGAAACAAAATGGAATCGAACGGATTGGAATCAAATGGAACGGAATGGAATGGAATGCAATGGAATGGAATGGACTCGATTGGAATGGAGTTGAATGCAATGGAATCGAATGGAATGTAATCGAATAGAATGGAATTGAATTTAATCGAAAGAAAGAGAATGGATCAGAGTGCAATGGAATGATACCAAATGGAATGGAATGGAATGGAATGGACTCAAATGGAATGGAATGGAATGGCAAGGAATGGAATGGAATGGAATAGAATGGAATGGACTCAGGTGGAATGCAGTGGAATGGAATGGAATGGATTCAAATGGAATAGAATCAAACGGAATGGCGTCGAATTTAATGGAATGGAATGGAATGGACTCGAATGGAATGAAATTGAATGCAATAGAATGGAATGGAATGACATCGAAAGAAATGGAATGGAATGGAATGGAATTGAATGGACCCATATATAATGGACTTGAAAGGAAGGGACTCAAATAGAATGGATTGGAAAGTAATGGTCTCGAATGGAATTCATGCCAATAGAATGGAATAGAATGGACTGCAATAGTATGGAATGGAATCGAATGGAATGGAATCAAATGGAATGGACCAGAAAGAAAAGGACTGGAATAGAACGGACACGAATGAAATGGATTGCAATGTAATTGATTCGAATGGAATGGAATCAAATGAAATGTAATCAAATGGGATTGAATGGAATGCAATGGAATGGAATAGAATGGAATGCAATCGAATGGAATGGAGAGTAATCGGGAGGAATGGAATCGAATGGAATGGAATCGAATGGAATGGAATCGAATGGAATGGACTCGAATGGTATGGACTCGAATGGAATGGACTTTAAAGGAATGGTCTAGAATGGAATTTATTCAAATAGAATGGATTCGAAAGGAATGCAATTGCATGCAATGGAACCGAATGGAATGGAATCGAACAGAACGGAATCGAATGGAATGGACTCGAATGGTATGGACTCGAATGGCATGGACTTTAAAGAAATGGTCTAGAATGGAATTTATTCAAATAGAATGGAATCGAAAGGAAAGCAACTGTATGCAATGGAATCGAATGGAATGGAATCGAATGGAATGTAGCAGAATTGAATGGACTGGAATAGAACACACTTGAATGTAATGGATTGCAAAGAAATTGATTCCAACGGAATGCAATCGAATGGAATGTAATCTAATGGAATGGGATGGAAGGCAATGGGATGGAATAAAATGGAATGCAAAGGAATGGATTGGAGTGGAATCGAGTGTAATGGAATTGAAAGGAATGGAATTGAATGGAATGTAATCTAATGGAATGGAATGGAAGGCAATGGGATGGAATACAATGGAATACAATGGAATGGATTGGAGTGGAACTGAGTGTAATGGAATCGAACGGAATGGAATATAATGGAATGGAATTGAATGGAATCGAATGGAATAAAATGGAATGGAGCATAATGGAAACATATCGAAAGGAATGTAATTGAATGGAATGGAATGGAATGGAATTCATAGAATAGAATGGAATGGAGCGTAATGGAAACATATCAAATGGAATGCAATGGAATGGAGTGGACTCTAATGGGATGGACTGGAATGGAATGGACTTGAATGGAATGGGATGGAGTAGAATGGACTCGAATGTAATGGAAGTGAAAGGAATGGAATGGAATGGAATGGAATGGAACGGAAAGGGATAGAATGGAATGGAATTGGATGGGACAGAATGGATGGGAATGGAGTCGAATGGAAGAGATTCAAATGGAATGGCATTGAATGGAGTTTAATGGAATGGAGTGGAATGGAATGGAATAGAATCGAATGGAATGGCAACGAATGGAATGGAATGGAACGGAATGGAACGGAATGGAATGGAATGGAAGCGAATGGAATGGAATGGACCAAAATGTAATGGAATCGAATGGAATGGACTCAAATACAATGGACTCGAAAGGAATGGTCACGAATGGAATTTATTCTAATAGAATGGAGTCGAATGGAATGCAATAGTATGGAATGGAATCGAAAGGAATGGTATCGAATGGAATGGACTGTAATGGAATGGACTGGAATAGAATGGACCCAAATGTAATGGACTGCAACGTAATTTATTCAAATGGAAAGGAATCGAGTGCAATGTAATCAAATAGAATGGAATTGAATCCAATAGAATGGAATAGAATTGAATGCAATGGAATGGAATGGAGTGGAATTGAGTGGAATGGATTCGAATGGAATGGAGTTCAATGGAATGGACTCGAATGGAATGGACTGGATTGGAATGGACTCCAATGGAATAGAAAAGAATGGAATGGATTGGCATGGAATGGAAAGGAATAGAAGGAATGAAATCGGCTGGAACGGAATGGAATTGAATGGAGTCAAATGGAATAGAATTGAATAAAATGGAATGGAATGGAATGGAACGGACACCAATGTGATGGACTCGAATGGAATAGAATCAAATGGAATGACATTGAATGGAATGTAATGGAAGGGAAAGGAATGAAATGGAAGGGACCCAAATATAATGGACTCGAATGGAATGGACTCAAATAGAATGGACTCGAAAGGAATGGTCACAAATGAATTTATTCGATTAGAATGGAATCGAATGGAATGCAACAGTATGGAATGGAATCGAAGGGGATGGAATCGAACGGAATGGACTGGAATGAAAGGGACTGGAATAGAACGGACTAAAATGTAATGGATTGCTATGTAGTTGATTTGAATGAAATGGAATCGAATGTAATGTAATCAAATGGAAAGGAATACAATGCAATTGAATGGAATAGAATGGAATGCAATGGAATGGAATGGAATGGAGTGGAATCGAGTGGAATGGAGTCGAATGAACTGTAATCGAATGAATTGGAATCGAATGGAATGGACTCGAATGGAATGGGCTGGAAAAAATGGAATCAAACAGAGTGGAATCGATCAGAGCGGAATGGAATGCAATGGAATGGAATGAAGTCATAAGAAAGGGAGTCAGATGGAATGGAATTGAATGGAAAGGAATTGAATGGAAAGGAATTGAATGGGATCAAAAGGAATAGAATGGACTGGAGTGTAATGGAAAGTTATCGAATGGAATGGAATGGAATGAAATGGAATGGACTCGAATGGAATGGAATCGAATGGAATGGACTCGAATGGAATGGACTGGAGTGGAATGGACTCGAATGGAATGGAAATGAATGGAATGGAATGGAATGGACAGACGGAATGGAATGGAATGCAATGGAGTCGAATGAATGGAATCAAAAGGAATGACATCGAATGCAATGGAATGGATTGGAATGGAATTGAATGGACTCGAATGGACTGTCATCGAATGGAATAGAATGGAATGGAATGGACCCAAATGTAATAGACACAAGTGAAATGCACTCAAATTCAATGGACTTGAAAGGAATCGTCTCGAATGGAATTTATTCGAATAGAATGGAATCCAATGGAATACAATGGTATGGAATGGAATCAAATGGAATGGAATCGAATGGAATGGACCGGAATGGCATGGACTGGAATAGAACAGACTCGAATGGAATGGATTGCAATGTAATTGATTTGAAAGGAATGGACTCAAATGTAATGTAATCAAATGGAATGGAATGGAATGCAATGGAATGGAAGAGAACCGAATGCATTGGAATGGAATGGAGTGGAATGAAGTGGAATGGAATTGAATGGAAGGGAATCGAATGGAATGGAATCGAATGGAATGGACCGCAATGGAATGGACTCAAATGGAATGGGCTGCAACAAAATGGAATCTAATGGATTGGAATCGAACGGAACGGAATGGAATGGAATGGAATGTAGTCAAATGGAATGGAATTGAAAGGAACAGAATGGAATGCAGTGTAACAGAAAAATATCGAATGTAATGAAATGGAATGGAATGGACTCGAATGGAATAGATGGGAAAAGAATGGACTCGAATGGAATGGACTGGAATGGAAAGGACTCGAAAGGAATGTAAACGAATGGCATGGAATGGAATGGAATGAAAGGGAAAGGAATATAATGGAATGGAATCGGATTGAATGGAATGGAATGGAATGGAGTCAAATGGAATAGAATCGAATGGAATGGCATCGAATGGAATGGAATAAAATGGAATGGAATGAACTCGAATGGAATAGAATCAAATGGAATGGCATCAAATGGAATGGAAAGGATTGGAATGGAATGGAATGGATCCAAATGTAATGGACTCGAATGAAATGTACTCAAATAGAATGCAATAGAAAGGAATGGTCTCGAATGGAACTTATTCGAATAGAATGGAATCAAATGGAATGCAATAGTATGGAATGGAATTGAATTGAATCGAATCGAATGGAACGGACTGGAATGGAATGGACTTGAACAGAACGAACTGGAATGAAATGGATTGCAATGTAATTGACTCGAGTGGAATGGAATCAAGTGGAATGGAATCAAATGGAATGGAATGGAATGCATTGGAATGGAATAGAATGTAACGAAGTAGAATGCAATGGAGTGGAATGGAGTGGAATGGAATCGAATGGAATGTAATCATATGGAATGGAATCGAAGGGAATGGACTGGTATGGAATGGACTAGAATGGAATGGACAGGTACAAAATGGAATGGTAAGGATTGGAATCGGATGGAACGGAATGGAATGGAATGGAATGGACTCGCATGGAATGGAGTCAAATGGAATGGAATCAAATGGTATGAAATTGAATGGAATCAAAAGAATAGAATGGATTGGAGTGTAATGGAAAGATACCGAGTGTAATGAAATGGAATGGAATGGACTCGAATGCAATGGACTGGAATGGAATGGACTGCAGTTGAATGGACACAAATGGAATGGAAAGGAATGGAATGGAATGGAAAGGAATACAATGGAATGGAATCCGATGGAATGGAATGGAATGGAGTCGAGTGGAATAGAATCGAATGGAATGGCAATGAATGGAGTGGAATGGAATGGAATGGAATGGACTCTAATGTAATGTTCTCTAATGGAATAACACTGAATGTAATGGCATCAAATGGAATGGAATGGAATGGACCCAAATGTAATGGATTTGAATGGAATGGACTCAAATAAACTGGACTCGAACGGAATGGTCTAGAATGGAATTTACTCGAATAGAATGGAATAGAATGGATTGAAATAGTATGCAATGGAATCAAATGGAATGGAATAGAATGGAATGGACCAGAATGGAACGGACTGGAATAGAACGGACTTGAATGTAATGGATTGAAATGTAATTGATTTGAATGGAATGGAATTGAATGCAATGTAATCAAATGGAATGGAATAGAATTCAATGGAATGGAATAGAATGGAATGCAATGAAATGGAACCGAGTGGAATCGAGTGGAATGGAATCGAATGGGATGGAATCGAATGGAAAGGAATGAAATGAAATGGACTGGAATGGAATGGACTCGAATGGAATGGACTGGTACAAAATGGTATCGAACTGATTAAAATCAAACGGAACAGAATGGAATGGAATGGAGTTGAACGGAATGGAATTGAATGGAATGGAATTGAAAGTAAATGAAAGGAATAGAACGGAATTGAGTGAAATGGAAAGATATTGAATGGCATGGAATGGAATTGAATGGACTCAAATTGAATGGACTATAATGGAATGGACTCGAATGGAATGGAATGGAGTGGAATGGACTCGAATGGAATGGAAATCAATGGAATGGAATCGAATCGAATGGAAAGCAATGGAATGGAATGGAGTCGAATGGTATAGAATTGAATGTAATGGCGTCGAATGGAACGGAATGGACTCAAATGGAATGGACTCGAATTGAATAGAATCAAATGGAATGGCATTTAATGGAATGGAATGGAATGGAACCAAATGTAATGGACTCAAGTGGAATGGACTCAAATGGAATGGACACGAAGGGAATGGTCTCGAATGGAATATATGCAAATAGAACGGAATCAAATGGAACGCAATACTTTGGAATGGAATGGACCGGAATGGAATGGACTGGAATAGAACGGACTCTAATATATTGGACTGCAATCTAATTGACTCAAATGGAATGGAATCAAATGGAATGTAATCAAATGGAATTTAATGTAATACAATGGAATGGAATAGAATGGAATGCAATGGAATGGAACGGAGTGGAATCGAGTGGAATGGAAGCAAACGGAATGGAATCGAATGGAATTGACTGGAATGGAATGGAATCGAATGGAAAGGATTGGAACAAAATAGAGTCAAACGGATTGGAATCGAACGGAAATGAATGGAAAGGAATGGAATGCAATGGACTCGAATGGAATGGAGTCGAATGGAATGGAATCCAATGGAATGGAATCAAATAAAATGGAAGTGAATGGCATCGAATGGAATAGAATGGAATGGAGTGTAATGGAAAGATATCAAATGGAATGGAATGGAATGGAATGGAATGGAATGGACTCGAAGCGAATGTACTGGAATGGAATGGACTCGAATGGAATGGACTGGCGTGGAATGGACTCGAATGGAATGGAAACAAAAGGAAAGGAATGGAATGGAAAGGAATGGAATGGGAAGGAATAGAATGGAATGAAATTGGATGGAATGGAATGGAAAGGGGTGAAAAGGAATAAAATTCAAAGGAATGGCATCGAATGCAATGGCATCGAATGGAATGGAATGGAATGGCATGGACTCGAATCTAATGGATTCGAATGGAATGGAATGGAAAGGAATGGAATGGAATGGAATGGACCCAAATGCAATGGACTCGAATGGAATGGTCTCAAATAGAATGGACTCAAAAGCAATGGTCTCGAATGGTATTTATACGAATAGAATGGAATCAAATGGAATGCAATAGAATGAAATGGAATCGAATGGAATGGAATCGAATTGAATGGAACGGAATGGAATTGACTGGAATAGAATGGACTCGAATGTAAAAGATTGGAATGTAATTGATTCGAATGGAATGGAATCGAATGCAATGTAAACAAATGGAATTGAATGGAATGCATTGGAATGGAATAGAATGGAATGCAATTGAATGGAACAGAGTGGAATTGAGTGGAATGGAATCGAATGGAATAGAATCGAATGTAATGGACTGGAATGGAATGGAGACGAATGGAATGCAATCTAATGGAATGCAATCTAATAGAAAGGAATTGAATGCATTCAAAAGGAATAGAATGGAATGGAGTGTAATGGAAAGATATCGAATGGAATGGAATGGAATGGAATGGACTCAAACGTAATGGATTGGAATGGAATGGACTCGAATGGAATAGACTGCAGTGGAATGGACGGAAATGGAATGTAAACGAATGGAATGGAATGGAATTGAAAGGAATACAATATAATGGAATTGGATGGAACAGAATGGAATTGAATGGAGTCGAATGGAATAGAATATAATGGAATGACATAGAATGGAACGGAAACTAATGGAATGGAATGGACTCGAATGGAATGGACTCGAATGGAATAGAATAGAATGGAATGGTATCGAATGGAATGGAATTGACCCAAATGAAATGGACTCGAATGGAATGGAATCAAATAGAATGGACTTGAAAGCAATGGCCTCGAATGGAATTTATTCAAATAGAATGGAATCGAATGGAATGCCATAGTATGGAATGGAATTGAATGGAATATACCGCAATGGAATGCACTGGAATAGAAAGGACACTGGAATAGAAAGGACTCGAATGTAATGGATTCCAATGTATTTGATTCAAATGGAATGGAATCGAAAGTAATGTAATCAAATGGAATGTAATGGAATGCAATTGAATGGAATAGAAAGGAATGCAATGGAATGGAACGGAGTGGAATAGAGTGGAATGGAATCGAAAGGAATGGAATCGAATGGAATGGACTGGAATGGAGTGGACTCGAATGGAATGGACTGGAAAAAAATGGAATCGAACGGATTGGAATGGAATGGAATGGAATGGAATAGAATGGACTCGAATGGAATGGAGTTGAATGGAATGGATTCAAATGGAATGGAATCCAATGGAATGGAATTGAATGTAATCGAAAGGAGTAGAATGGAATGGACAGTAAAGGAAAGATATCAAATGGAATGGAAAGGACACGAATGGAATAGATTGGAATGGAATGGACTAGAATGGAATGGACTTGAGAGGCATGGATACGAATGGATTGCAATGGAACGGAATGGACTGGAACAGAACGGACTCCAATTTAATGGATTGCAATATAATTTGTTTGAATGGAATGGAATCAAATGGAATGTAATCAAATGGAATCGAACGGTATGCAATGGAATGGAATAGAATGGAATGCAATGGAATGGAACGGAGTGGAATTGAGTGGAATGGAATTTAATGGAATGGAATCAAATTGAATGTACTGGAACGGAATGGACTCAAATGGAATGGACAGGAAAAAAATGGAATCGAATGGATTGGAATTGAATGGAACGGAATGAAATGGAATGGAATGGACTCGAATGGAATGGAGATGAATGGAATGGAGATGAATGGAATGGAAACGAATGGAATGGAATTGAATAGAATGGAATTGAATGGAATCGAAAGGAATAGAAAGGAATGGAGTGTAATGGAAAGAATTGAATGGAATGTAATACAATGGAATGGAGTGTAATGGAAAGATATCGATTGGAATGGAATGGACCCGAATGGAATGGACTGGAATGGAATGGATTCGAATGGACTTTACTGGAGTGGAATGGACACGAATGGAATGGAATGGGATGGAATAGAATGGAATGGAATCGGATGGAGTGGAATGGAATGGAATGGAGTCAAATGGAGTAGAATAGAATGGAATGGCATTGAATGGAATGGAATGGAATGGAAAGGAATGGACTCGAATGGAATAGAACAGAATGGAAAGGCTTCGAATGGAAAGGAATGGAATGGAATGGAATGGAATGGACCCAAATGTAATGGACACGAATGGAATGGGTTCAAATACAATGGACTCAAAAGGAATAGTCTCGAATGAATTTATTCCATTTGAATGGAATTGAATGGAATGCAACTGTATGGAATGGAATCGAAGGGAATGGAATTGAATGGAATGGACCGGACTGGAATGGACTGGAATAGAACTAACACAAATGTAATGGATTTCAATGTAATTGATATGAATGGAATGGAATCGGTTGGAATGTAGTCAAATGGAATGGAATGTAACGCTATGGAATGGAATAGAATGGAATGCAATCAAATGGAACGGAGTGGAATCGAGTTGAATGGAATCGAATGAAATGGAATCCACTGGAATGGAATCGAATGTAATGGACCCCATTGGAATGGAATGGAAAAAATGGAATCATATAGATTGGAATCGAACAGAATGGAATGGAATGGAATGGAATCGAATCGAATGGAATGGAGTCGAATGGAATAGAATTGAATGGAATGGCTTTGAATGGAGTGGAACAGAATGGAATGGACACGAATGGACTGGATTCGAATGGAATAGAATGGAATGGAATTGAATGCAATGGACCTAAATGTAATGGAATCGATTGGAATGGACTCAAATAGAACGGATTTTAAAGGAATGGTCTCGAATGGAACTTATTCGAATAGAAAGGAATGGAATGGAATGCAATAGTATGGAATGGAATCGAATGGAATGGACCAGAATGGAATGGACTGGAATAGAAAGGACTCGAATGTAATGGATTGCAATGTAATTGATTCAAATGGAATGGAATCGAATGGAATGGAATCGAATTTAATGGACTGGAATGGAAATGACTGGAACAGAACGGACACGAATGGAATGGATTGCAATGTAATTTACTCGAATGGAATGGAATCCAATGGAATGTAATACAATGGAATAGAAGGGAAGGCAATGGAATGGAATAGAATGGAATGCAATGGAATGGAACGGAGGGGAATTGAGTGGAATGGAATCGAATGAAATGGAATCAAATGGAATGGAATCCAATGGAATTGACTGTAATGGAGTGGAATCAAATGGAATGGACTGGAATAAAATGGAATCGAATGGATTGGAATCAAATGGAATGGAATGGAATGGACTCGAACAGAATGGAGTCGAATGAAATGGAATCAAAAGGAATGCAATCAAATGGAATGGAAATGAAAGGAAACGAAAGGAATAGACTGGAATGGAGTGTAATGGAAATGTATGGAATGGAATGGAATGGAATGGACTCGAATGGAATGGACTGGAATGGAAAGGACTCGAATGGAATGGACTGGAGTAGAATTGACTCGAATGGAATGGAAAAGAATGGAATGCAATGGAATGGAATGGAAAGGAATGGAATGGAATGGAATAGAATGGAACGGATTCGGATTTAACAGAATGGAAGGGAATGGAGTCGAATGGAATAGAATTGAATGTAATGAATTCGAATGGAATGCAATGGAATGGACTCAAATGGAATGGAATCTAATGGAATGAAAATGAATGGAATGGAACAGAATGGAATTCAATGGAATGGACCCAAATATAATGGATTCGAATGTAATGGACTTTAATGGAATGGACTCGAAAGCCATGATCTCGAATGGAATTCATTCGAATAGAATGGAATCTAATGTAATGCAACAGTATTGAATGGAATCAAATGGAACTGGATCGAATGGAATGGACTGGAATGGAATGGACTGAAATAGAAGGGACTCGAATACAATGGATTTCAATGTAATTGATTCAAACGGAATGGAATCAAATGAGGTGTAATCAAATAGAATGGAATGGAATGCAATGGAATGGAATAGATTGGAATGCACTGAAATGGAACAGAGTGGAATAGAGTGGAATGGAATAGAAGGGAATGGAATTGAATGGAATGGAATCAAATGGAATGGAATCAAATGGAATGGAATCGAAAGGAATGGACTGGAACAAAATGGAATGGAATTGATTGGAATCTAACGAAATGGAATGTAATGGAATGGAATTTAATGGACTCGAAAGGAATGGAGTCAAATGGAATGGAATCAAATTGAATGGAATAGAATGGCATGGAATTGAATGGAATCGCAAGGAATAGAATGGAATGGAGTGTAATGGAAATATACAGAATGGAATGGAATGGAATGGAATGGACAGGAAGGAAATGGAATTGAATGGAAAAGACTGGAGTGGAATGGACTCTAATGGATTGGAAAAGAATGGAATGGAATGGAATAGAATGGAATGGAATGGAAAGAACAGAATGGAATGGAATCGGATGGAATGGAATGGAATAGAATGGAGTCTAATGGAATAGAATCGAATGGAATGGCATTGAATGGAATGAAATGCAATGGAATGGAATGGAATCGAATGGAATTTATTCGAATGGAATAGAATTGAATGGAATGTCATTGAATGGAATGGAATGAAATGAAATGCAATGGAGTGGAAAGGACCCAAATGTAATATACTCAAATGGAATGGACTCAAATAGAATGCACACGAAAGCAATGGTCTCGATTGGAATTTATTAGAATACAATGGAATCGAATAGAATGCAATAGTATGGAATGGAATTGAATGGAATGGAATCGAATGGATTGGACTGGAATGGAATGGACTGAAATAGAGTGAACTCAAATGTAATGGATTGCAATGTAATTGATTTGAATGGAATGGAATCGTATGGAATATTATCAAATGGAATGGAATGGAATGCAATGGAATGGAATAGAATGGAATGCAATGGAATGGAACGGAGTGGAATCGAGTGGAATGGAATCGAATGGAATGGACTTTAATTGAATGGACTCGAATGGAGTGGACTGGAACAAAATAGAATCGAATGGATTGGTATCGAACAGAATGGAATGGAATGGAATGGAATGGACTCGAATGGAAGGGGATCAAATGGAATGGAATCGAATGGAATGGAATTGAATGAAATCAAAAGGAATAGAATGGAATGGAGTTTAATGGAAAGATATCGATTGCAATGGTATGGAAAGGAATGGACTCGAATGGAATGGACTGGAATCGAATGGAATCGAATGGAATGGACTAGAATTGAATGGAAACGAATGGAATTGAATGGAATGGAATGCATTGGAATAGAATGGAATGGAGTCAGATGGAATGGAATGGAATGGAATTCAGTGGAATGGAATGGAATGGAATGGAATGGACCCAAATGCAATAGATTCGAATGGAATGGCATCGAATGGAATGGAATGGAATGGAATGGAATGGGATGGAATGGAATGGAATGGAATGGAATGGACCCAAATGCAATGGACTCAAATGGCATGGACTCAAATAGAATGGACTTGAAAGCAATGGTCTCGAATGTTATTGACTCGAATAGAATGGATTCGAATGGAATGCTATAGTATGGAATGGAATCGAATGGAATGGAATTGAATGGAATGGACCAGAATGCAATGGACTGTAATAGAATGGATTCGAATGTAATGAATTACAATGTAATTGAGTCGAATGGAATGGAATCACTTGGAATGGAATCAAACTGAATGGAATGGAATGCAATGGAATAGAATAGATTGGAATGCAATAGAATGGAATGGAGTGGAATTGATTTAAATGGAATCGAATGGAATGGAATCCAATGTAATGGACTGGAATGAAATGGACTCGAATGGAATGGACTGGATAAAAATGGAATCCAACGGATTGGAATCGAACGGAATGGAATGGAATGGAATGGCATGGAATGAAATGGACTCAGGTGGAATGAAGTCGAATGGAATGGAATCAAATGGAATGCAATCGAATAGAATGGAATTGAATTTAAATGAAAGAAAGAGAATGGAATGGAGTATAATGGAAAGACATCGAATGGAATGGAATGGAATGGAGTGGACACGAATGGAATGGACTGGAATGGAAACACTTGAATTGAATGGACTGGAGAGGAATGGACTCGAAAGAAATGGAATGGAATGGAATGGAATGGAGACGAAGGGAATAGAATCGAATGGAATGGCAATGAATGGAGTGGAATGGAAAGGAGTGGATTCTAACGGAATGTACTAGAATTTAATAGAATCGAATGGAGTGGCATCGAATGGAATGGAATGGAATGGAATGGAATGGACTGAAATGGAATGGACTGGAATGGAATGGACTCAAATAAAATGGACTGGAAAGGAATTGTCTCGAAAGGAATTTATTCGAATAGAATGGAATCGAATGGAATGCAATAGTATGGAATGGAATCGAATGGAAAGAAATCAAATGGACTGGACCGGAACGGAATGGAGTGGAAGAGAAGGGACTCGAATGTAATGCATTGCAATGTAATTGAATCGAATGGAATGGAATAGAATGGAATGGAATCAAATGGAATGGAATGGAAAGCAATGGAATGGAATTGAATGGAATGCAAAGGAATGGAACGGAGTGGAATCGAGTGGATTGGAATCGAATGGAATGGAATTGAATGGAATGGAATCAAATGGTATGGATTGGAATGGAATGGACTCGAATGGATTGGACTTGAAAAAAATGGAATGGAACAGATTGGAATCAAACGGAACAGAATAAAATGGAATGGAATCAAATGGTATGGATTGGAATGGAGTGGACTCGAATGGATTGGACTTGAAAAAAATGGAATCGAACGGATTGGAATCAAACGGAACAGAATAAAATGGAATGGAATGGAGTCGAATGGAATGGAATCAGATGGAATGGAATCGAATGAAATGGAATTGAAAGGATTGGAAAGGAATAGAATGGAATTGAGTGTAATGGAAAGATATCGAATGGAATGGAATGGAATTGAATGGAGTCGAATAGAATGGACTGGAATGGAATGGACTTAGAATGGAATGTAATGGAATGGAGTGTAGTGGATTGGAGTGGTGTGGAGTGGAATGGAATGGAGTGGTATGGATTGTTATGGAATGGAATGGTGAAATGAAATATGAGTTGAGATTGTGCACTGCACTCCAGCCTGCGTGACAGAGTGAGATCTTGTCGAAAGAAAGGAATGGAATAGAATGGACTTAGAATGGAATGGAATGGAATGGAATGGAATAGAGTGTAGTGGAGTGGAATGGAATGGAGTGGTATGGATTGTTATGGAATGGAATGGAATGGAGTGGAGTGGAGTGGGGTGGAATGGAGTTTAGTGGAATGAAGTGGAATGGAATGGGATCGAATGGAACAGTGTGGAGTGGAGTGGAAAGGTGTAGAATGAAATGGAATGGAATGGAGTTGAATGGAGTGGAGTGGAGTTGATTGGATTGGAATGGAGTGGAGTAGAATGGAGTGGAGTGGAATGGAGTGGAGTGGGGTGGAGTGGAGTAGAATGGAATGGAATGGAATGAATGGAATGGAATTCAAAGGAATGGAATGGAATGGATTGGAATGGAATGGAATGGAATGGAATGGAAAGGTGTAATGAAATGTGAGCTGAGATTATGCACTGCACTCCAGCCTTGGTGACAGAGTGAGTTCCTGTTGGAAGAAAGGAATGGAATGGAATGGATTTTCAATGGAATGTAATGGAATGCAGTGGATTGTAGTGCGGTGGAGTGGAATGGAGTAGAATGGAGTGGAATAGAGTGGAATGGAATGGGATGGAATGGATTGGAGTGTAGTGGCCTGGAGTGGAAAGTTGTAGAATGGAATGGAATGGAATATAGTGGAGTGGAGTGTAAGGGTGTTGATTGCAGTGGAAGGGAATGGAGTGGAATGGAGTTGAGTGGAGTGGAAAGGAGCAGAGTCGAGTGGAGTGGAGGG